>NW_015148967.1:0-157805 GCF_000001405.40 Homo sapiens | reverse complement strand
AAAGCAGCACATTCAGTTCTATAAAATAAACTCTATCTGGAGAGAGCCAGGACGGAGTTATGTTCTGTCCAAGCTAAGAGGATTATCTTCAGGGAGTACATAGTATTTGTGTGGAGTGGACTGCTGCAAAGTCAAACTCTGGAAAAAAATAATTGTTGGCTGAAGGAGCATCAAAATAAACATCGTCAGGGGAGTTTTAGCTGATGGGCCCAAAATCGGTCCGTGAGAGCGACAGTAAGCTTTAAATATTTTCAAAATCCAGAATCTGCTAAGCTCTTTTAAGAGTAACCATCAAGTAGGAAATTTTCTATACCCTTCATCTTTCTTCTTTACTTTTGCTCTGATCCTGGAGGGGTTGGAAACAGCAGCTAATGAGCGGTAAATGAGGAGAGCAAGAAAGAATAAAGACTCCAATGATTTCTTCTTCTTTAACCTGCACAAGGTAAGGGGAGATAAACAAAAAAGGCTTACTGTTTTGAGTAATATATTAGAATGCATATAAGAATATTTATAACTCAAGGAAGCACTTCTTGATTTAAGTAATTTAGAATTCTCTATTACTTATGATTCTGGAAAAGAAATTTATTCAAGAGCAGAGGAAACACCTACAGAATATTTTTAAAGAAAGAAGATAGAAGAAATATAAAGTCTCTGCTCTGAATACTTCCCAGGGTGCTTATTGTTTGTAAACAACTCTTAGGGGCAGAGATTAAAATTTTAATGGAAGTCAGGGATTCCGTGTC
This sequence comes from Homo sapiens, assembly GCF_000001405.40. Classification (NCBI taxonomy): domain Eukaryota; kingdom Metazoa; phylum Chordata; class Mammalia; order Primates; family Hominidae; genus Homo; species Homo sapiens. The sequence goes on along the minus strand of NW_015148967.1, from coordinate 157,062 downwards.
TGATCATTACATCATGATGGGATATAATGTGAAAGCAATAGGCTAGATGGTGATTCTAAACTCCATCAGATACTTTCCCTGGAGAAATTTAAATAAAAGAGGCAAATAAGAAAACTCAGTGAAATGATGCTAAGAACACTGGAGAAATTTAAATAAAAGAGGAAAATAGGAAAACTCAGTGAAATGATGCTAAGAAAGACACATAGATAAGACAATGCAGAAATCAAAACGTGGTTGTGATTATTAGTAAGTTAATCTGTGCAGTAGAGAGCTAGAGAAGAGAGCTATTAATAGCATTCAACATTTCTGACAATGTTTGGAGTGGCTCTGTGTCTAGATAAACAGCAATACATTTCTGTAAAATGTTTAATATTTGAATTTCTTTTGGGGCATAGGAGTTGTCACTGTATTCTGAATAAGAAAGAACTGCAGTCACTGTCAGGATAACTAGGAGAATAATTTTGCATTTCTACACAAGGCTTTGTGCTTTTTAAAATATTAGCTTTTATCTCCAGAGATAATCTCCAGAGATAGCCCAGTTTTCTTACATTCTACATACAGAATTTGACAACTGATAACAAATATATATAATAGATACATTTATATAATTTTTCTTTCTCTTTTTCTCTCTCTCCACACACACACAAACGTATGCACACATTCATAATATCTAAAACCACACACATCTTTAACAATGCTGATGGCTGTATAGCATCAGCATTTCAATATATCCTCATTAATAATTTACCTTTTGACACATTTATTTTTAAAATAAATTTTATTGTGAATATTTAAGGTACACACATGTTTTACTATATATGTGTATATATAAATGATATATATATATATCAATCATATATATACACACACACATATATATATATAAATGATTACTATAGTGAAACAAGTCAACACATCATCTCATATAGTTACTCATTCCACCCCTCCCCTGCACTGTGGTAAGGGCACCTATAATCTACTCATTAAGCAGAAATCCTAAATACAATGCATTATTGTTAACTTTAGTCTTCATGGTGTAAATTACATTTTTAGACCTTTTCCTCTGCTACTTTGAATCATTTGACTTAAATCTCCCTAATTCTTTCTTCCCCACTGTGCTGGTGGTAACCACTGTTTTATTCTCTATCTCTGTTCATTTAATTTCCACTTTTTTAGATTCCATGTATAAGTGAGATCTACAATATATTTCTTTCTGTGTCTGGCTTATGTTACTTAACAAAATGTCCTCCAGATTCATCCTTGTTGTGGCAAATGACAGATATCCTTATTTTTAAAAGCAGAATAATCCATTGTGTGTGTGTGTCTCTGTGTGTGTGTGTGTGTGTATGTGTCTGTATACACATGTACTATATGAAATGATTTTTAAAACTGTGATATATATATATATATATATATATATATATATATATATATATGCACATACACACACACACATACATACCACAATTTTTTAAATTCATTCATCCATTAGCAAACACAGGTTGTTTCCCTATCTTGGCTATTGTGAATAGTATGGCCGTGAATATGAGGATACGAATATCTTTACAAAATGGTAATTTCATTTCCTTTGGGTATATACCTAGAGGAGAGATTGCTGCATCATGTGAGAATTCTATTTTTAATTTATTTGGAAATCTGCGTACTATTTTCCATAATGCCCACGCCACTCTACAGTCCCTCTAACAGTATACAAAGTTTTCCTTTTCACCCTTGTCAACACTTGTTATCTCTTTTTCGCTTATTTTTAATGGACATTTATATCATGTATAATTTCTTTTTTGTTTGTTTGTTTAGAGACAGGGTCTTTCTCTCCGTTGCTCAGGCTGGAGTGCAATGGTGTGATCATAGCTCACTGAAGTCTAGAACTCCTGGGCTCAAGTTAACCTCCTTCCTTAGCTTCCTGAGTAGATAGAATTATGAGCACTCACCACTACATCCCAATAATTTTTTTAAAAGTTTTTGTAGAGATCGGGTCTCACTACATTGCCCAGGCTGGTCTCAATCCTCTAACTTCAAACGATCCTCTTAGCTTGGCCTCATAAAGAGCAGGGATTACAGGTAAGAGCCATTGCACCTGACCAATGTGATAGTGAAACAGTGAAAGAATGAACGTAATTCACTCCATTTTGGGTTAAGGGGCCTTTACCCATTCCCACCTGTAGAGTAGGATAATTTTAGAGCACTTGGATAAAATGCAAAACCAGCAATCTTCCAGTTTTTGAAACTAACTCTGGGATTTAACGGCAAGTGTGTAAACGACTAATTATGTTTTGTTAAAGATTTATAGGAGCACTGTGGCCTGACCAAAGACAAATAAATTCCCTATGTCCTAGGACCTAGGACCCTCACTGGCACTCAGATGTTTGAGGTCATGGGTCACTCTTGATTGCAACCTTTCTTCCTCCTGCCCTTAACAAAAAAGTGCCTGATACCGGGCGCGGTGGCTCACGCCTGTAATCCCAGCACTTTGGGGGGCCGAGGCGGGTGGATAACGAGGTCAGGAGATCGAGACCATCCCGGCTAACATGGTGAAACCCCATCTCTACTAAAAATACAAAAAATTAGCCGGGCGTGGTGGCCGGCGCCTGTAGTCCCAGCTACTCGGGAGGCTGAGGCAGGAGAATGGCGTGAACCCGGGAAGCGGAGCTTGCAGTGAGCCGAGATAGCGCCACTGCACTCCAGCCTGGGCGACAGAGGGAGACTCTGTCTCAAAAAAATAAAATAAAATAAAATAAAATAAAATAAAATAAAATAAAATAAAATAAAAGTGCCTGATATTTGTACTAACTTTGTACTAACTTAATATGGTACTTTCACCATCTTCTTGGTTAGTTCTCTGAATAAACCTGCTTTTCTTCCCACTAGCTCTTGTCTTTTGAGTTTGGTTTTTGATTGGTGAGAAGCCAAATCTGGGTTTGGTTATCTTTGTAAACCAAAAATAAAATTCGAAGGGCCCCCAGCCATCTGAATGGACTTTCTCCTCATTCAGGGCTGGTTCAGGCCATAACGGGAAGTAAGTGTCTAACATGTCTCAGTATACCTCTCCAGTGTTAAAATCAACATAGACCTTTAAGTCTGATCAAGAAGCATTTACAGCTATTCCCTCTGAAGCCTGCTACCTGGAGGCTTCATCTGCATGATTAAACTTTGGTCTCTACAACCTCTTATCTCAATCCAGACATTTTCTTTCTGTTGATCCCAGGTCTTTAAACTCAACCAATTGTCAACAAGAAATTTTTTAATCTACCTATAATCTGAAAGCATCCCCCTCACCCCCTTCCAAGTTGTCTCAATTTTCTGGACCAAACCAATGTATTTCTTAAATGTATTTGATTGAAGTCTTCTGTCTCCCTAAAATGAATAAAACCAACCTGCGCCCTCGACCACCTTGGGCACATATTCTCAGGACCTCCGGAGGGCTGTGTCACAGGCCATGATCACTTGTATTTGGCTCAGAATAAATCTCTTTAAATATTTTACAAGTTTGACTCTTTTCATTGACATAGTCATAGATACTTACATATAAATATTTGTACCGATCACTGTTTTCTTTTGAAATGATGCATATTTAGAAATTGTATTACCCCAATAAAGGCTTTCATAGCAATGCTGGATCATTTTACCAACACTCTGGGAGATTCTTATTTTCTGGGGACATGGTGTTTGTTGGGCCTCGCCTGGGTAAGCATTCTTTATCCTTTATTTTGTAAAATACATTTGATAAATACTCAGTAAAGTAATACTTTTATCAATGTTGCTCTCATAAAAATATTTTATGGAGTTTAGAATACTTTTAAAAATAAAAACTTTTAATAATGGTTTCTAGTTTATACTTTGATTTATGTTATTTGTTTTAAATTAAGCAAGTGTATGTCAGAAATTAAAATTTTGTTTATGCCTAGAAGCAATTCAATTAAACTAATTTTTGACCGTACTAAAAAATAATTTCTAAACAAAAGTTCCACACAAATTGTAAAGAGCCATGCTGAAGCATAAACTTTATCTTTAGAGATGACCAAGACAGCCTTTAATTTGACTGTTCCCCTTCAATTTGACTGTACTCAAGAATTTTTTTTTTTTTTTTTTTTTTTTTTTTGAGAAGGAGTCTCACTTTGTCGCCCAGGCTGGAGTGCAGTGGCTCAAATCAGGTCACTGCAACCTCCACCTCCTGGATTCAAGCAATTCTTCTGCCTCAGCCTCCCAAGTAGCTGGGACTATAGGCACGTGTCACCATACCCAGCTAATTTTTTTGTATTTTTAGTAGAGGTGGGGTTTTGACATGTTAGCCATGATGGTCTTGATCTCTTGACTGGTGATCTGTCTGCCTCGGCCTCCAAAGTGCTAGGATTATAGGCGTGAGCCATGGAGCCTGGCCTGGACTCAAGAACTCTTTTTTTTTTTTTTTTTAATATACTTTAAGTTTTAGGGTACATGTGCACAATGTGCAGGTTTGTTACATATGTATACATGTGCCATGTAGGTGTGCTGCACCCACTAACTCGTCATTTAACACTAGGTATATCTCCTAATGCTATCTTTCCTGCCTCCCCCCACCCCACAACAGACCCCAGTGTGTGATGTTCCCACTCCTGTGTCCTGTGTTCTTATTGTTCAATTCCCACCTATGAGTGAGAACATGCGGTGTTTGGTTTTTTGACCTTGCGATAGTTTGCTGAGAATGATGGTTTCCAGCTTCATCCATGTCCCTACAAAGTACATGAACTCATCATTTTTTATGGCTGCTTAGTATTCCATGGTGTATATGTGCCACATTTTCTTAATCCAGTCTATCATTGTTGGACATTTGGGTTGGTTCCAAGTCTTTGCTATTGTGAATAGTGCTGTAATAATCATACGTGTGCATTTGTCTTTATAGCAGCATGATTTATAATCCTTTGGGTATATACCCAGTAATGGGATGGCTGGGTCAAATGGTATTTCTAGTTCTAGATCCCTGAGGAATCGCCACACTGACTTCCACAATGGTTGAACTAGTTTACAGTCCCACCAACAGTGTAAAAGTGTTCCTATTTCTCCACGTCCTCTCCAGCACCTCTCGTTTCCTGACTTTTTAATGATCGCCATTCTAACTGGTGTGAGATGATATCTCATTGTGGTTTTGATTTGCATTTCTCTGATGGCCAGTGATGATGAGCATTTTTTCATGTGTCTTTTGGCTGCATAAATGTCTTCTTTTGAGAAGTGTCTGTTCATAGCCTTCGCCCACTTGTTGATGGGGTTGTTTCATTTTTTCTTGTAAATTTGTTTGAGTTCTTTGTAGATTCTGGATATTAGCCCTTTGTCAGATGAGTAGATTGCAAAAATTTTCTCCCATTCTGTAGGTTGCCTGTTCACTCTGATGGTAGTTTCTTTTGCTGTGCAGAAGCTCTTTAGTTTAATTAGATCCCATTTGTCAATTTTAGCTTTTGTTGCCATTGCTTTTGGTGTTTTAGACATGAAGTCCTTGCCCATGCCTATGTCCTGAATGGTAATGCCTAGGTTTTCTTCTAGGGTTTTTATGGTTTTAGGTCTAACATGTAAGTATTTAATCCATCTCAAATTAATTTTTGTATAAGGTGTAAGGAAGGGATCCAGTTTCAGCTTTCTACATATGGCTAACCAGTTTTCCCAGCACCGTTTATTAAATAGGGAATCCTTTCCCCATTTCTTGTTTTTGTCAGGTTTGTCAAAGATCAGATAGTTGTAGATATGTGGCATTATTTCTGAGGGCTCTGTTCTTTTCCGTTGGTCTGTATCTCTGTTTTGGTACCAGTACCATGCTCTTGTGGTTACTGTAGCCTTGTAGTATAGTTTGAAGTCAGGTAGGGTGATGCCTCCAGTTTTGTTCTTTTGGCTTAGGATTGACTTGGCAATGTGGGCTGTTTTTTGGTTCCATATGAACTTTAAAGTAGTTTTTTCCAGTTCTGTGAAGAAAGTCATTGGTAGCTTGATGGGGATGGCCTTGAATCTATAAATTACCTTGGGCAGTGTGGCCATTTTCACAATATTGATTTTTCCTACCCATGAGCATGGAATGTTCTTCCATTTGTTTTATCCTCTTTTATTTCATTGAGCAGTGGTTTGTAGTTCTCCTTGAAGAGGTCCTTCACATCCCTTGCAAATTGTATTCCTAGGTATTTTATTCTCTTTGAAGCAATTGTGAATGGGAGTTCACTCATGATTTGGCTCTCTGTCTGTTATTGATGTATAAGAATGCTTGTGATTTTTGCACATTGATTTTGTATCCTGAGACTTTGCTGAATTTGCTTATCAGCTTAAGGACATTTGGGGCTGAGACGATGGGGTTTTCTAAATATACAACCATGTCATCTGCACACAGGGACAATTTGAATTCCTCTTTTCCTAACTGAATACCCTTTATTTCCTTCTTCTGCATGATTGCCCTGGCCAGAACTTCCAACACTATGTTGAATAGGAGTGGTGAGAGAGGGCATCCCTGTCTTGTGCCAGTTTTCAAAGGGAATGCTTCCAGTTTTTGCCCATTCAGTATGGTATTGGCTGTGGGTTTGTCATAATTAGCTCTTATTATTTTGAGATACATTCCATCGATATCTAGTTTATTGAGAGTTTTTAGCATGAAGTGCTGTTGAATATTGCCAAAGGCCTTTTCTGCATCTATTGAGATATCATGTGGTTTTGTCTTTGGTTCTGTTTATATGATGGATTACGTTTATTGATTTTCGTATGTTGAACCAGCCTTGCATCCCAGGGATGAAGCCCACTTGATCATGGTGGATAAGCTTTTAGATGTGCTGCTGGATTCGGTTTGCCAGTATTTCATTGAGGATTTTTGCATCGATGTTCATCAGGGATATTGGTCTAAAATTCTCTTTGTTTGTTGTGTCTCTGCCAGGCTTTGGTATCAGGATGATGCTAGCCTCATAAAATGAGTTAGGGAGGATTCCCTCTTTTTCTATTGATTGGAATAGTTTCAGAAGGAATGGTACCCACTCCTCCTTGTACCTCTGGTAGAATTTGGCTGTGAATCCATCTGGTCCTGGACTTTTTTTGGTTGGTAAGCTATTGATTATTGCCTCAATTTCACAGCCTGTTATTGGTCTATTCAGAGATTCAACTTCTTCCTGGTTTAGTCTTGGGAGGGTGTATGTTTACATTTTATCCATTTATTCTACATTTTTCTAGTTTATTTTCTTAGAGGTGTTTATAGTATTTTCTGATGGTAGTTTGTATTTCTGTGGGATCAAAGGTGATAACCCCTTTGTTATTTTTTATTGCGTCTGTTTGATTCTTCTCTCTTTTCTTCTTTATCAATCTTGCTAGCGGTCTATCAATTTTGTTGATCTTTTCAAAAAACCAGCTCCTGGATTCATTGATTTTCGAAGGATTTTTTGTGTATTTATCTCCTTCAGTTCTGCTCTGATCTTAGTTATTTCTTACCTTCTGCTAGCTTTTGAATGTGTTTGCTCTTGCTTCTCTAGTTCTTTTAATTGTGGTGTTAGGGTGTCAATTTTAGATCTTTCCTGCTTTATCCTGTGGGAATTTATTGCTAGTAATATTCCTATAAACACTGCTGTATCTGTGTCCCAGAGATTCTGGTATGTTGTGTCTTTGTTCTCGTTAGTTTCAAGCAACATCTTTATTTTTGCCTTCATTTCGTTATGTACCCAGTAGTCATTCAGGAGCAGGTTGTTCAGTGTCCATGTAGTTGAGCAGTTTTGAGTGAGTTTCTTAATCCTGAGTTCTAGTTTGATTGCACTATGGTCTGAGAGACAGTTTGTTACAATTTCTGTTCTTTTACATTTGCTGAGGAGTGAACTCAGCTCTGCACCAAGCAGACCTAATAGACATCTACAGAGCTCTCCACCCCAAATCAATAGAATATACATTCTTTTCAGCACCACACCACAGTTATTCCAAAATTGACCACATAGTTGGAAGTAAAGCACCCAAGAAGTCTTATTCCTGACCATAGGTACCTTTCTTTTTCTCAGTGAATTTACATTAGAAAATGTGTAATTGTAAGTACTTCCCATGCCCCTTTGAGGTGTAAATTCTTATAAAAGCCTCTTACCCTTGTGATAACCCAAGAATGTCTTTCTTAAGGACCTGGGAATCACCTCAGAAATGTAATCATCAAGGAAGAAAGCACCCCTATCTCTCAGTTTCTGTGGGAAAGTAGGAGCTTAACTTCGCCAGGTGCCTTGTCAAACTATATCCTGTCAGGAAGATAGTGGAAAGTTGACTTTTGTTTTGGGTAAAGTTAATTGGCAAATGTAAATTACCTGTGAGTTCCCACCCCAACTTTTACAAACTCTGTTCCCTTTGTGTAGCTGAGAATATAGCATGTATTTGTTACTAAGCTTTTTTTTTTTTTTTTTTTTTTTTTTTGAGATGGAGTCTCGCTCTGTCGCCCAGGACGGACTGCGGACTGCAGTGGCGCAATCTCGGCTCACTGCAAGCTCCGCTTCCCGGGTTCACGCCATTCTCCTGCCTCAGCCTCCCGAGTAGCTGGGACTACAGGCGCCCGCCACCGCGCCCGGCTAATTTTTTGTATTTTTAGTAGAGACAGGGTTTCACCTTGTTAGCCAGGATGGTCTCGATCTCCTGACCTCATGATCCACCCGCCTCGGCCTCCCAAAGTGCTGGGATTACAGGCGTGAGCCACCGCGCCCGGCCTGTTACTAAGCTTTATGAACAATAAGGGATTAACACAATGTATAAAAATTTCATGTTAACAAAATTACATACAGTCACATCATCTAAAATTTTAGTCCTTCTAAATAAGGTAGCTATGAATAGTAAAAATTAAAAGTGATTATATTTCATATAAAATATTATAATTGAAAATTTTAAAAATGTAAATTGTAGCTACAGTATAAAGTTATATGAATGATATTCTGTCTTCTAATAATTGTATAAATAATAATCTATAATTAATGTGCTCACATTGTTTTTGGTCTGAGAATATTTCAGTTCAAGCACTTTTTTAAGAAAATAGGCCATATTTGTGTAAAGTTCTAGGTAACTTTTATATTTCAGAGTAACATTTTAAAAACAAATGTAAATAATTTACTCAGATGTTAACATGTTTGATTGAAATAACTAAAAAGTAATTATAAAGAGTCAAAATTTTATATTACTGGATAATTTGAATTCAATTCTTTAGTTTTTAGGTAGAGAGGCTAAAACCTAGAAACTTTTGATTTTGTATTATTTGGAAAGCTATCCTTAAAAGTTGTGGAAATTTTTTGGCGGGGAGGAATGCTATATGTATACATACAAACTGTGCAAAAAATAGTTGCACAAACAACAAAGTAATACACAGCTTCACATACACAAATTATTCCTTTAATTTTTCTCTCCAGGGACTAAGAAATATAAAATATCTGCACATGGGTATTTTAATTATTTCCTTAATATGTTTGTCTTATAAACATTATTAGCTTTTATTTTAGAAAAAGCTTTTACTTTAAATGAGACAAAAATGACTTTAAGAGAAAGCAGATTTGATACACCTTAAAATTGTCTATTCATAGAAAAACATTTAAAAAAATGAATCATAAACACATACACAAGTGCACACAGACACATGTACGTACGCACATGATAATCCTGAGTAGTCATTTTTCCATTGACAATGGCCATTTTTCTATCTTTTAAAACCTTTTGTAGGAGGATATGGGAGATATAACTTTGAAGAGTTTAAATGTTGAGTTATTTAGCTGCATTAAGTGTTTAATTGTATTTCAAGATGTTAGCTAAACAGAAACCCCTTGAAAACATTTTATTTAACATAAATGTATGACTCCCATAGTGGAAATTTTATTAGGACATTTGAAAGAACACCCTTAAAAGACTTTAAAATTATCTTAATAAAGGTGATCCAGATATTTTAATAAACTATTACAGTATACTCCTATTCTATTAAAACAGTTTTAAATTATCCATCTTAGAATGTGTAGGTGAGGGTAACTGAGGAGGTTAAATTAATCCTTCTAACTTCCTGGCTTCTATGAGATGAGGGGTTTTGCTTTCCTTTCAGTAATATTTGTAGGCAGAGTTTGTTTCTTAAACCCTATCCAGTTACATGGCCTTCCTGAAGACAGGACTCTGATGCTGTATCAGTCTGGTTTTCTGTATGGTATTTTCTTCTAGTCTTTCTTTAATAGTCCACGATCTTCATTCCCAGTTATTAGATCTTCTTAATTATAAATTCGTATTTCTTTAAGACATAAAAACCTGCTTTGATGTCTCTTGATTATCTGTAAGTATACTGACTGTATGCTGGGCTCTATCTTACGTATAAACCTTCTCCTGAAATCTGGTCTACTTATATTGTGTATAAGTACCTGCCTCACCCTTATTAACAGATCTAATTACTAGCTGACCCATCCTAATGTTTACTAAGCTGTAAGCTTCTGTTCTGACAGTCTCACTCCTTGAATTTTGCAAGCAACCCATAAGCAGACTATTGCCAAAGTGTGAAGAAATGTACCCAGTTGAGGGACCATGCAGTAGGGGGTGCTATGTCATAGAGAGAGAGGAAGACAGTGGAAAAACAGCTCCAATGCTAAAAAAGAGAATCTAAGAAATTCACCTGTTAATTAGCTCAATTTAGCCATTCTACAATGCATACATATTTCACAATAACATGTTGTACATACTAAATATATATAATTTTTATTTGTTGATTAAAAATTTACAAATAATAAAAAAAAATAATCTGTGCTTTAGGAAAGTAGGACATGTTACCAGGAAATAGAGATTTGTATACCTCGTAAAGCTGAGCAAAATACTATCACCATACTCCACTCATGAACCAGATAAAAGTTCAATCTCTACCAAAATTAAACATCAAAGTAGGGCCCTCATCTAAATAGAACACTAGAGGAATTCTAGCAATTGTGTCTCAGAATTGAAAAAGCCAGGGAAACGTTAATAGTGGAATTTTGACTCAAAGATTTCCATCATGACTAGACATGGACTGATAGACAAGTGTCCTGAGGATTTTCCTAAATTCAAAGCCAGTGTTTGAATGACCTGAGTTTAATGACCTAGAAGGCTGAAGGTACTTAGGAATGTAGAGGAGATGGGTTTGAGAAACATCCCAGCCATTCTCACCTTGCTCTGAAATTCCACAACTAATTTTGTTGGATATGTAGTTCCTAATTTTATAAAAGTGAATTATGATCTAAAAAATGTAGAGAAATTAATTTTTGATTTGTTTTGTTACCAAATTGTACCCCAAACTGGTAGTCCTAGAAGCACTTGTTTCAAGTGGCTAATTTTATTTGATCATTCAGTCTGTGTGTACTAAGGATTTCTTTCTTATTTATGTATGTATGTATGTATTTATTTATTTATTTATTGAGATGGAGTCTCACTCAGTCATCCAGGCTGGAATGCAGTGGCACTATCTCAGCTCACTGCAACCTCTGCCTCCCAGGTTCAAGTGATTCTACTGCCTCAGCCTCCCGAGTAGCTGGGACTACAGGCATGAGCCACCATGTCCAGCTAATTTTTGTATTTTTAGTAGAGACGGGGTTTCACCATGTTGGCCAGGCTGGTCTTGAACTCCTGACCTCAAGTGATCCACCTGCCTGTGCCTCCCAAAGTGCCAGGATTACAGGTGTGAGCCACTGCACCCAGCTTGAACTAAGAATTTCTGAGTGTCCTTCTTTTATTTATCTTAATTGGAATTAAATACAAAGAGGACTGGGTGGTGAAGCAAAATGGAAGGAATTCTATAGCTTTCTGATAAAAGTAGATTCAATTTATTTTTAATTGATTTCTCTCTTTTAGTATGGAATCTTTGCCCAAAAGATCCAGATACTTAGGAAATATGACTTAAGAAGGCCTCAATCATATTCAAACTAATATTTATTTCTATAATGTTAAAATAAAATTAATATTTAACAAATACTTTTTTCTTCCTTCTTGTATTAGTTTATTTTTGCACTGCCATAGAGAAATACCTGAGACTGGCTAATTTATAAAGGAAAGAGGCTTAATTGACTCACAGTTCTGCATGGCTGGGGAGGCCTGAGGAAACATACAATCATGATGGAAGATGAAAGGGAAGCAGGCACTCTCTTTACAAGGCAGCAGGATAAAGAGTGTGAGTGAAGGGGGAAGAAGAGGCACTTATAAAACCATCAGATATCCTGAGAACTCACTCTTACTATACTGCTCTCACTATACTGAGAACAGCATGGGGGAAACTGCCCCCATAATCCAATCACCTTCCTCCCTTGACACACAAGATTTACAGGTCCCTCCCTTGACACGTAGGTATTGCAATTCGAGATGAGATTTGGGTGGGCACACAGAGCCAAGCTATATCATTCCACCACTAACCCCTCCAAAATCTCATGTGTTTTCACATTTCAAAACCAACTGTGCCTTCCCAACAGTCCCACAAAGTCTTAACTCATTTCAGTGCTCACTCAAAAGTCCACAGTCCAAAGTCTCATCTGAGACAAGGTAAGTCCTTTCTACCTATAAACCTGTAAAATCAAAAGCAAGTTAGTTACTTCCTAAATACAATGTGGGTACAGGCATTGGGTAAATGCTCCCATTCCAAATAGGAGAAATTGGCCAAAGCAAAGGTGCTACAGGCCTCTTGCAATTCTGAAATCCAGTGGGGCAGTCATTAAATCTTAAAGCCCCCAAATCATCTTTAACTGCAGGTTTCATACCTGGAACACACTGATGCGAGGGATGGGCTTTCACAGCCTTGGGCAGTACCTTCATGGGCTGGCACTGAGTGCCTGTAGCTTTACCAGGAACACAGAGCAAACTGGTGGTAGACGTAAAATTTTGGGGTCTGGAGGATGATGGCCTTCTTCTCACAGCTCCACTAGGCAGTGTCTCAGTGGGGGCTCTGTGTGGGGGCTGCAACCCCACATTTCCCTCCCACACTGCCTTAACAGAGGTTCTACATGAGGGCTCTGCTCCTGCAGCAGACTTCTGCCTGAACATCCAGGCATTTCCACAAATCTTCTGAAATCTAGGCAGAGGTTTCCAAACCTCAATTTTTGACTTCGGTGCACCCACAGGCCCAACACTACATGGAAATCACAAAGGCTTGGGGCGTGTACCCTCTGAAGCAACAGCCTGAGCTGTACCTTGGCCTCTTTTAGCCATGGCTGGAGCTAGAGTCGCTGGGACACAGAGCACCAAGTCCTGAGGCTGCATACAGCAGTAGCCAGGCCCTGGGCCTGGCCCATGAAACCATTTTTCCCTTCTATACCTCCAGGCATGTGATGGGATGGGCTGTTGTGAAGGTCTCTGACATGCCCTGGAGATATTTTGCCCATTGTCTTGGTGATTAACTTTGGACTCCTCATTACATATGCAAATTTCTGCAGCTGGCTTGAATTTAGTCCCGGAAAATAGATTTTTTTCTACCACATGGTTAGGCTGCAAATTTTCCAAACTTTTATGCTTTGTCACCTCTTGAATGCTTTGCTGCTTAGAAATTTCTTCCACCAGACACCCTAAATCATCTCTCTCAGGTTCCAAATTCCACAGATCTCTAGGGCAGCAGCATAATTCTGCCAGTCTCTTTGTTAAAGCATAGAAAGAGTGATCTTTGCTCCAATTCCCAATAAGTTTCTCATCTGCATGTGAGACCAACTCAGCCTGGTTTTTGTTGTTTACATCACTATCAGCATTTTGATCAAAACCCTTTGACAAGCCTCTAGGAAGTTCCAAACTTTCCCAAATCTTCCTATCTTCTTCTGAACCTGTCTCCACCTATTCCAGCCTCTGCCTATTACCCAGTTCAAAAGTAGCTTCCACATTTTCAGGTTATCTTTATAGCTGTACCCTATTGTCCACAGTATCAATTTAGTGTATTAGTCCATTTTCACACTGTTATAAATGACTGAGACTGGGTAATTTATAATGAAAAGAGATTTAATTGACTCACAGTTCCACATGGCTGGGGAGGCCTGAAGAAACTTACTGTCAGGGTGGAAGGTGAAGGGGATGTAGGCACCTTCTTCACATGGCGGCAAGAGAGACAGATTGTGAGCAAAGGGGGAAGAGCCCCTTCTAAAAACCATCAGCTCTCATGAGAACTCACTCAGTGTCACGAGAACAGCAGGTGGGAAACTGTCCCCATGATCCAATCACCTCTTTCCCTCAACACGTCCAGATTACAAGTCCCTCCCTCGACATGTGGGGATTACAATTCAAGATGAGATTTGAGTGGGAACACAGAGCCAAACCATATCACTTTTTTTCTTCCTTCCTCCCCTTTTTCTTTTTTTAAAAAAGATAGAAAGGAAAAGGTAATATTTTTAAAGGAGAATGTATATAGACATTGGTCTTAGACTTAAAGCAAAATGTAGTTTCTGTTTAAATATAATCACATTCTTTTTAGCAAAAAACAAAACAAAACAAAAACTCTTTGCACTTTTTTTAAAAAGCTACTCATTGAACTTTTAGAACACTTTATTTTTAATTCTTTTAACCAAATATGGTAAGACTGAGGATCATCTCCATTGATTTCCTTGACTTTCATGTTATTTTTTAAGTTAAATTTTGTTAACTCTTTTATTCTTTTAAGAAATTTTCTATATGATACATTTTTTACAATGACAGAAACATCTGGAGGTAAATGAGAGAACTATCAGAGTTTTCTAAACAAACTAATGACTTTCAAGCCAGTGATCTGCCATGTAGAGTCCTAGGTAGTCATGTATCAGTGAGTGTCAGCTTGAACAAGAGGTCCATATAACCTGTCAATACATAGCTATAGAGTGCATCAATGTTATCTGAATGAAAGGTGCTATAATAAACTTTGTAGAATGGGGGGTGAAAATAGTATATAGTATGATATGTTAGTAAAAATACCATAATTTTTTTTTCATTTAACTTGTAAATTTTTTCAGAAGCACCTTCATTTTAATAAAGAGTAAAGATAGCCCAAACTACAAGAACTTTGAAAGTTGATTTATTAATTTGTTTAACTTTCAGATGTAAGCATTACATAAAATAAAATTCACTCTTTCTAACGATACAATTTGGTGCTGATAATTGTATTCAATCATGTAATTTCCACCGCAAACATGTTATAGACATGACATCATTCTAAAAGGTTCTCTTGCTTCCCTGTAAAATTCATGACCCACTGTTATGGGCCGAACTGCGCTCCTCAAAACACATATGTTGAATTCCTATCCCTGAGTACCTTCCAATGTGACTGTATTGGAGATGTGGTCTTTAAAGAGGTAATTAAGATGGACTGTGGCCACACAGGATAAATATAACACATGTTTTATATCTATTTTCAACTGGATAAATATTTAGGTAGTCTTCCATATTATGGCTAATATAAATAATGCCACTATTGACATGCACATGCCTATTCATGTGTGAATGTACTTCACTTAGAAAAACACCTAGAAGTGAGATTACTAGGTTCTGTAAAAACTAATTTTTAACCTTATACAATACTGCCATATCAAGTTTTCAGAAGTTGGTGTCCATATTGTTTTGAATTTCTACAGCGATACCTGCATGATATTTACAGCTGAACTTTATTCTTGCAAACACTTAGTCATATCAGGAATTTTATCTTTATTGTATTGGATGTATTGTTATTTGTAATTGTAATTTTAATTTGAATATCATTAATGACTAGTGATATTGACCATCATTTCATGTGCTTATTTGCCAGCCTTGTAACTTTTAAAGTGCTTATTTAAATAATTTATCCATTTAAAATTAGATTTTGTACTTATTACTGATTTTTGAGATATCTTTATGTATTCTTAATATAAGTCAGTTATCAGATTGGTGTTTTTCAAATATTTTTGCAGTCTCTAGCTTGCCCTTTCATTTTCTTCAAAGAGTAAAAGTTTTTAAACTTCATTAAAATCATTATTTTTTTTTATTTGGGGGATTGTTCTTTTTTATATAGTGTTTGAAAATCTTTGCCTAACACAAATTCACAATGATTTTCTTCTATATTTTCTTCTTTAAGTGTCGTAATTTTAATTCATGCACTTACGTCAATGTCTACTTTGAATTTCTTATGATATAAAATATGTATTGAGATTCATTTTTCCAGATATATGAAGTTGTTAATAGAAAGTTATTATCTAACTGAATTATCATGGCAGTTTGTCAAACCAATTAACCAGTGAAGTATGGGTCTATATGTGTACTCTCTATTGTGTTCCTTGAATCTATCTTCTTTCTAATATCAGTGTACCTTTAAAGTAAGACTTGAAATTAGGTGGTGTTAGTATTCCAAAATTGCTTTTCTTTTAAAAATTATTTTTCTTCTTCAGGATCCTTTGCCTTCGCCTATAGATTTTAAAGTCAGCTTCCCAATTTACTCCAAAAATCTTGCTGGAATTTTGATTTGGAGTGCATAGAGTCTACAGAACAATCTGATAAAATTGTGATCCTAATAATAGTGAGTGTTTCAGTTGATGAACGTGGGATATTCTTCCATTGATTTTGGCTTTATTAAAAATGTCTTTCTGAGGTTTTGTAGTGTTTTTTTTTTTTGAAATTTTAGGTTAAATTTATTTCTTAGTATTTTGTTTTATACTATTATATGTGGATTTATTGTTTGCTTGCCTTCTGGCTTATTTTTTTTGCTAATGTTCACTGTTGTTATGTATAAAATTAACTCTTGTATATTGACCTTGTAACTGCAAACTTTCTAAATTTACTTATCAGTTTCTACAGCCACCTTTAAATAAAACAAAATTAATTCTTAATTTCTAATAATTATCACCATTACCTCTTTTCCTTATGTTATTACATTAGATCTCTAACAAAATGTTCAATAAAAATGGTGAGAGCAGGCACCTTTGCTTTTTTTTTTTAGAGGAAAACATTGTCTTTCATCATTAAGTATAATATTAAGTTTTCCATAGATGTTCTTTAAGTCGTTGCAGAATTTTCACAAGACAGATTTGCTATTGTATGCTATTATATGCCTTTGAAAATTTTACTTTGGAAGTCATTTATACTACACTGATTAGGATGGCATGGCGGATGCACAAGTGGAAAGGGAAATCCAATTAAGAAATGAATAGAGTGGTCAAGATAAGAAAAGTATCTCCTGCTAGTCTAAAATAAATAGTTGGGGAGGTGAAGAGACAAGAATTGGTTTGAAGAATTTAAATAGGTAAAATCAATAAAATTTGGTGACTGAGAATATGAGAAAGGGGGAGAAATAATTATTAAGAGTATTTTTAATGTAACAATTTGAATGGTTGCACCAGCAACTGAGCATAATGCTGGAGGATGATTATGGTTTTGAGTGAATGATGGATAGCATAATTATGGTTTTGTATATATGAAGTAGATATTCTTAGTGGAAATGTAAAATGAACTATTGGCTATATATTTCTGGAGCTCAGGTGAGAAACGGATACAATATTATAAGAATTATTGACATAATAATTGATAAGTAAAGCTTTGATTCAAAAATATATAACATCATTTATTTTACGCTTTAAAATTTATTTTAGCCTCTTTAGAATCTCTCTTTTAGTGTGATAATATTTAAAACTCTTTTTGATTCTTTTCATCCATTCTATATAGGACACAATTTTGAAATAATTTAAAGTTGTCCTTAGCATCACTGGGACACTTTTACTGAATTTACTGTTTTCTTCCTTGCCGTTTTAATCTTTTAAATTTTCTCACTTATTCCTTTGGTGCCTTTATGCTTACAGTAATGTTCGGTTGGTAAACTTTTTCTGTAAAGGTCAGAGAATAAATATTTTAGACATTATAGGCCACAGACACTGGAGGATGATTATGGTTTTGGAGTGAACGATGGATAGCATAATTATGGTTTTGTATATATCTGTTATTTAATTTTTTGACAGTGTTTAAAAATATAACAATTATTCTTAGTTGATGTGCCAACACAAAAACAGGTTACAAACTGAAATTGGACTATGGGCCATCGTTTGCCCATATCACAATATGTGAGGCTGCCCTCTTGGCAGCATGTTATGCTCTAATAGATTCTTGCCTACCCTTTACTCATTTCTATCAATCAGTACTGAGTACTATTCCCTTCTGACCATAAGTATTTCCTATTTGAGCATAGTTTACTGTCCTTTATCTGAATTTTATTTACTTTCTAAAATTGAACTTTAAGGATTTTCTTGACCCCACCCTTAAGATAAGTGAATTACTCCCTTCTCTATGCATCCACTTTACTTATTGCATATTCCTTTTATTAAATTTTTAAATGTCTATGGTAGGCTTTGCTTTTATTTTTATCACTTCTATTAAACATTGTCCCACTGAAGGCCAGATTAATATCATTTCTTCTAGATGCCTAAAATGAAATCGCAGGTTAAGAGAAGTTACTTAATATGCATCTGTAGATATGTACTGAATTGAACTGAATCTCTGTATTTGAATCTATTTGCAACTATTGCTAATACACGGTGCTTATTAATGTCATTAAATTGTGCAAGACAGTGTAACATACACATAGCCTACTTGTGTAGCATGTCCACATTGCATGAATCTTAATTTCTTATGTGCCATATAAAATTTAGCATTAGTTTTCTAGTCTAAGTAAATAGTGATACTTGCACTAGCAAAGTGCTAGTATTGGACCAGTCAAAGGGTGTTGTTATTACTATTATTAAGTCTTTTATCCAAAAGACATTTGCATTTTAACTAGAAATGTCAATGGCTTAGCTTAAATGAATTATCATATAAGGTGCAATAATTTGTCATTAGGTACAATGATTTTGTCAAAGTAATATTTTCCTTCCTTATCTAAAATTTGAATTATTCTGGTTTTCTTAGCTATAAAACAACACTTACTATTACACAGATTGTAAACAAGTGACAGCTAAGCTTATTGTCAAACTTTGTAAATAATTTATAATGGTGCAACAACATTGTAAAAATAAAATAAAATATTGTTTGATCCAAAAATACAACAGTAATTTAATTCAGGGAATTCTAAAATTTCTAAGAACTGTTCAATCTCTTCTGGCCTACTGTACACACATAACTATTCCTTGGGGAGTGGTGTTGGTGACAAATTATAGAAGAACTAATATTTTTAAGTTTAGATTAGATTTGGAAAAGCTACAGGATTCTCAAGTGTTTAGATGATGCAGTTATTCCAGAAACAAACTTGATTCTCTCTAATAACATAGTTATTTTCACATGATGTTTCCACCATTGGAAATATTGTATGACCAAAAAATTTTGTTAGACCTATCCAAATAAATTACATTAGAGAAAAATTTAGTAGTTGTTTAATTTATCTCATAAAAATAACCATAGCTAAGTATCAGCTTACTTACTAAGGATAAAATGCCCACAACCTATAATAACATTTAATGCATTATGAAATGTAACCTCATGAAAAAAAAAACACTGTAATTATATTTGGTAACATGCCACATCTTAATTAGGGCTAATTAAATTGCACTATTAGCAATTTTGGCTTATTTGACTTATAAAAAAAAACAACTACGATTTAGAGGATAATTGCAATATTTATAAGATAAAATTGTTTCTTCACCAACTTTTTTTCTTAATTCAGATAGATAATATTGTTACTCTCTAAATAAACTTATGGATTATGTTTAAATATAATGCAATGAACATAACAGAAGAATGTAAAGACCTTAAAGAGTATAAATATAAAATTTTATTTTAAACTAGTGATTATGATGTTGATCATTTTTTATATAGATTATTCTTAACACCTAAGAGGGTGGTCTTCTATGTTTAAACAGCCTTCCTTTTTTGAGCTTCTGTTGGCCTCACTAATCTTATGAGAGCAATTCAGTTGTACCTGCTTTTATTCAGCCCTGGTAAGCTCTTTAAATCATGGATTTCTTTCTAATTTTTAGATATCTCAACCAAAATCCCTCAACTTAATCAAGCTCATGTCTATTGCTTAATTGCTTTATAATTTTTTGGCTTCTGATGTGGGAGGCCTTATTCTTTATGAGTTTTCAGATCCACTGCTTACACCTGTCACTAGCATTTTATCACCTCTGAGTAGCATGACCCAGCCCTTGTTAAATTATGTATTTCTCCAAAACTGCACTAAATAGCCAGCCACCCAACCACCAGTACGACATAGGGTAAAAATTGCCGGCTAGCTCAGGATATCTAAATTTCACTTGTAGCTCTACCGCTGTATGACACTGGGTGGTGTAATTAAAAGCTCAAATCCTCAGTTTCTTCAACTTTAAACTGTAAGTGGTAATAATTATATTTAAATATTAATAAAATAATGTAATTAGCCCATGTTCTACCTATTTCTATTATTTGCTTTGACCTTTTACATTTTGGTTCTCAGTCAAGTTTGTGTATTTATTATCATCATCGTTGTCAATCTGTCCATTCTCTATGCAGAGACAGAGATCAATCACAAACTATCATAGTTATGTGACACCCCAAAATCCACCCTAGATAAATGTGTTATAGCAGGAGGAGAAAGTGTCTCTTTGACCTGAAAGGCAAGTCAGATATTAATGAAATGGCTTGCAAGTTATAAAGATATATTTGCCTCTTTGCTTTCTCAATATCTTTTCCCTTATGTCTTGGCAACTTAATCCTATGCAGCTCTAGTTCAGGTAAATTGTCAGTTGTAGATAAGAGGATACAAGTAAACAAGGTCATAGCAAGAACAGAAATCGAGTACATTTGGTACACAGACCACTAGATATTGAAGCAGAACTTTTCCTCAGCAAAGCCACAATGAAACTAAGTGATTCTCTTTGGAGAGACGCTGAGCAAACCATTTTAATATGAGCTGTTTCTGGCCAAATAGTAGTCTGAACAACTCTGAGGTTTAATCACATAGCTAAGAACTTTGGAAATAGGGAACCAAACTTCAATTATGATCAATTTTTGTTTAACACAAATCAGATTCTAGATGTTTACTATTTTGCTGTGAGGCAGTAAAAACATTACATGATCCAAGCTCATATTTTAGTTTTTTAGCCTGTAATCACATGTCCCTGGGTAGAAAATTTAATACTGACAAATATGGAGCTAAAATTTACAATCAGTTTTTCAATACTGGTAAAATAAAATCTAATATTCCATGTCCTGAGATTTTATTTTATGGTCCTTATAAATTAGAGTGTTTTGGAAATACATTGGAGAAACTTGTGCTGTGAAAAGATAATCGTTTCAATTCATATCATCTTTTCATGATGTACTAAATAAAATTTCTAGCATTATAATATGATTTGTTATAATTTATTTTAGTCACTATTCTTTCACTCTATGCTTATAGAAAAATATTATTGAAACAATTGTAAACACTTTAAAGATACTAAAATGATTCTTTTTAAAATCACTTTCTTTACAACCTATTAAAGTTCTTGGAAATGTATTTCTTCTGATATAAGAACTTGAACCACAATGCTGAAATAAGTCATGTGCATCTAATATTATTACTATACTAATTATATTTTTTCTATGATATTTCATCAGAAGATACAAATGAACTTATTATTAAAAACAAATAATTGGCAGTATGTACAATAGAATTACTTTCTTAGTAAAATCTAGTTAGACTTTTTCCAATGGCATATATGTCTAAATTATCTTGATATAATTATATTTTAAAATTGTGGATTTTAGAGTATGTCATAATTTTAACAACTGAAATATACACAAAATATTTACTTCATGGGTGCGTTTATATGTATGTACTTAGACGAACTGATTTAGAATGACACAGGTATATAAAAACATGAAAATATTTTGCCACTCATGTGTTTTAAGTAATGCAAATGTAGAAAATTATGGCCTTGTTTCCTAGTGTACCACAGATATTTTAGTGCAGCTTCACAATTTTAAAATAGCATGAAGTGATTAATATTCATCAAAAGGAAGTGGGAAGAGAAGCATAATTTTATTCTCAATTAATAGAAAACATGGCATTGTCTATTTTTATTCTCCTGGCTATTTATCCATTCCCTATGAAAGTGAATGGTCTGCCACACTCCTCGTCTGCTTTCTTGCTGAAAGTGCTTGCTTGTGCTGCCAAGCTCACTACACACTTTCTATTTGGCATGGAAGCACTATCTTTTTCAGCCATGCAAGTCTGTGTTCTGTGATAAAGTTCAGTTATGGGCAGCCTTGCTGACTCTACTCTGCTATAGAAAGAACTCTCTCTTGCTCCAATATTCATTTGAAAACTGCCTTTCCTGGTGCTTGACATTCTTCTAAAATTGTACTTGCCATCCTAATGGTTGTCACTTCAATATTTTAACTTATTGTACTTGTTTAATATGAACTAGATATTTAATTCTAATTTAAGCAGCAAAGGAAGTTGCTGATTGCTGCAGTTTTGTAAGGGATAAATTACTATTTATATACTTGATTTAACTGAGCATATATCATTTAAATGTAGAGATTTTTAGTCCCTAAGTTATTGTGGAGGTAGTCTGACTTGTAATGTGTTGATCCATTTGTTTCAAATTCTGTAAGATTGACAACAATTATTTCAGTCTATGTGATGGCATGGTACTCTATATCTGCAAATATTTTTAGCATGATAAATGAATGGATTAGTTATTCTATCAACCATTTATTTAATGTGTGACTAGGTATTTTGTAGGCACCTGGATACTCTCTTGCTTCAAACACCTAAAGAATAAAATATCAAAAATAAAATTTTAATGTATATCTCAACTTCAAGTATCAGAAAATAGAGAACCAAAAATAAATAGCCACTTAGTAAATTATTGAGCAGCAGTTAATGAAAGAAAAAAGAACATTGTTAAATAAAACAATTTTGCAGAAGTCCCAGGTTAGGTATATCTTGAGGGGTAGATGGGATTAAGATTTCTATGTTGTTGCTCATGTATAGATGAAAAAAAGTGTCTTGACAAAGAGCCTGTATATTAAAAAAAATTGGAGAGAGGACTCTCCATATAGTCAGGTTTCTATAAAGGCTATAACCTGAAGAATAGAATTTTTAAAAACATGAACTGGAAATAAAATTTAATCACCAATAAAAGAAGATGAGAGTCTGTCAGGAAAAGTTTAGAAATTTGCCTGTGCTTTGACAAAACAAAAAAAGAGTCCAGTTATTACAATGTTCCACTGTCAAGCAGGTTTAGCTACTTCAATTACATAACATATTGAGTGTTTAAAATTGAAAACTGAAATATTAACATAATGTTCCCTAGTGAGTGATGTACTGGGTGTCCAGTAAAGGCGAAATTAAAATTTAGTTGGATATATGCATTTTAATCCAACATTAAACAGTATTTTCAGAGAATTATGCTCACAATCCAAATTTAAAAGCCACATGATTGCAACTTCAACCATTAAAGAGTGATCTCAGGAAAAAAAAATACGAAAAAGTATCTGACCCACAAAAACTTCAAATGATAAAAATTATGAAATAGAGAGTATAACATAAGCATGTTAAAAATTGTAAAGGGAAGCTCATGAAAATAATATTCATTTAGTTGCAGAAGAGTCAGTAAAGATGATATAAATTTCAAAGGATATAGGATATGCGATCTAGAATTCTGATTTTCAAAGGAAGTAGAATTTGAGGGCCCAATATTTGGAAGAGAAGAAGAGTTCAGAGAAATGACCAGGACAATTGGCAACTACGTATTTATCAAGTGATTAAGTTGACCAGGGCAGTAGCCTCAAAAAACCACAAAGGGAGTCTCTTAAAAGCAGAGGCAAGTTTTTACAATTTTCATGGAGCTGAAAAGATAAAACTTTAGTTCAGCATTTTCAAAGGGAATAAAAGACTAGAAAATACCTCAGTTTCAAATTGCAAAGCATAATGTGGATAATAATAAAATATTAAAAGCTTCATTCCTGAGGTGGAGAAAAGATGGTGGCACCAGCCAAAAACTATAATATTAAAAGGTATACTGAAATTTCAAGCTAATAGACTAAGGTAAGAAAAAAATAAAGATTGGAACAGAGAAAGTTAAGCTGTTACTGTAAGACTGTCTAATTAGGTTCTTAGACAATCATAGAGTCTACATTTATATTATTAAATTAAAAAGTGAATTGAAAGATAACAGAAAACAAGATAAAATACAATTTTTTTCTTACATCACCAATAAACAAATTGAAGTAAAATTGAACACTATTTCTAACAATGCAATGTCTTTTAGAATGTATCTAATAAATGATGTGCAAGACCACTAATCAGAAATTCACAAAACATTATTGAGAAAAAAATGAAGCAGATTTACATCCCAACAGATGTGTGTGTGTCTAAAATGACAAATGAAAGGCTGATATAGGACTATGATAATTAATATAGTTGGTATTATGCAAGTATATGCAAGTAGACCAATGAAACAGAATAGGACAGTGGTTCCCAAACTTTATTGTAGATCATAATCATCTGAAGAAAGATTCAGTAGAAATAGGGGAGGAGTTCCCATTTACACTAAATTTTTGGGTAAAGCTGTTGCTACTGGTCTGGGTATAACACTTTGAGAAGAACTGAAAGGGAACAAGTCCAGAAACAAGCTCACGTTTATATATTTACTGGACTTATGGCAAAGGCGAAGTGCAAGAATATCCATTTAAATAAATTTTACTGGGCTAATGAAAATTTAATTGGAAAAAAATAATGACAACCTATTTGCAAAATGGCAAAGAAATATGCACAAAACTTCACAAGAAAGGATAACCAAATAGCTTTTATAAACATATGAAAAGTTTCTGATTTTAATTATCAGGAAAATGCAAATACAAAACATAACAAGATATCGTTACCTATTCAAAAAATTCAGGAGAATGATAAAATCTGTCAGTGGCAAGTATTGGTGAGATTGTGTATAAATCCATATCTAGTTACAAGACTGGAAAATTGAATAAGACTGAAGAAAAATAATGTCAAATATGAAGTTTGTAAAAGCATTCAGGTAGAAGAGAAGAATAATTTAATTTATAACATACTTCTTAATAGCAACAGTGATGACACAATGTAATTTAAAAGGCTGAGAAAAAATAATAGTCAACCTAAAATGTATTCCCATCTAAACTGTCATTCAGAATTAATCTACAGGAACAAGATGTAGAAATGATTTACAGGAACAAGATAGAAAACTTAAGAGACCAAAACCTGCAGCCTGAAAAGGTCCAGAAGAGTTTTAAAACCTGTAAGCTTTTGAATTGTTCATGAGTATGGGGAAAAGCCTTAGTTTGTTTTGGATTTTATGTTAAGCATTTGTTTAGAAATACTAAAGATAATGATTAATGGTATTATTATTTTAGCATTTATTAATTAGTATTTTAGAATAAATAAGCAAAGAAGAGAGGGAAATCGTAATATCTAGAAATCTCAATCAAGTGAATACATGGGAAAAAAGAAAAACAAAGAAGGAGTCAATCCCTGCAGATCGAGACTCCAGACCCACCCCAGTGCCAGATGAATAAGGCCATTACATAATAATAAAAGGATAAATTCAACAGGCATATATAACAATAATTGATACACATACACTCAACATCAGTGCACCCAAATATATGAAGCAAATATTGACAAGATGTGAAGGGAGAAGTAGACAGCAATGCAATGATTGTCAGATTCTTCATACTGCACTTATCAATAAGAAAATAGCACACTCGAACTACGCTATACATGAAATGAATCTGACAGATACATACACAAAATTCTACACAACAGCAGCTGCATTCTCACATGCTTCTCAAATGTACATGGAACATTCTCCAGAATAGATCACACGGTAGGTCACAAAACAAGTCTTAACAAATTTAAGATTAAAGCCATGTCAAGTATCATTTTTAACCACAATGGAATAAACCAGGAAAGAATAAATAGAGTGAACTTAAAAAAATTTAAATATATGGAATTTAAACTACATACTCTTGAACAATTATTGGGTCAAAGAAGAAATCCAAAGCAAAAATTTATGTGTATATAATTTATGCACACACACACACACACACACACACACATATATATATATCGAGAGAGAGAGAGAGACAAAAATAAAAACAATATTAAAACAAATTCTAGGATACACCAAAAGCAGTATGAAGAGAGGAATCTATAGAATTTAATTACTTTTCTTCTGGTTGAGATTAATTTAATTACCACACATATATTAAGTACTTAATTTTTATTGTCACTTTTCTAGACAATTGACAATTTATTGAACAAAACAAGTGACAATCCCTGGACCTCAGTTCTGTTTGGGGAGTCAGATACTCACCAGTCACATCATAATCAGGTCATGTCCACAGAATGTGAGATGTGATGCCCTCATGTCCTCCTCTAGGTATGGTGGCATCCTCCCAGATTTTTGACTAGGACGACAGACTCAAGGACCACTACAACATTTAAATAGATGCAAAAAAAGGACATGACAAAATTCAATATTCCTTCATGACACTCAACAAATTAGGTAGAACAAATGCACTTCAACCCAACAAAGGCCCTCTATGACAAATGTACAGCCAATATCACGTTAAACCAGAAAAACAATGTAAGATTTTTCTCTAAGAGCTGGAACAAAACAAAGATGCCCAGCCCCATAACTCCCACTCAACACAGCACTGAATAGTCAAACCA
Organism: Homo sapiens; assembly: GCF_000001405.40. Lineage (NCBI taxonomy): Eukaryota > Metazoa > Chordata > Mammalia > Primates > Hominidae > Homo > Homo sapiens. Next base: position 130,490 of record NW_015148967.1, on the reverse strand, counting down.
GAGCAATTAAAGAACAAAATCAAAGGCATCTAGATTGGAAAGGAGGAATCAAACTGTCTTTGTTTGCAGATGATGTAATCTTGTATATAGAAAGCCCTAAAAACTCCAACAAAATACTGCTAGAACTAATAAATTCAGCAAACTTGCAAGATACGAAATCAACATACAAAAGTCACCAGCATTTGGATACATCACTAACAAGATATAATGCTATTAGTGTATAGAAATATTACCAGTTGTTGTGCATTTATTCCACATCCTGAAACCCACTGAAGTAGTTTATCAGTTCTAGGAGCCTTTAAGCAGAATTTCCAAGGTTCTCTAGGTATATATTCATATTATCAGCAAACAGGGACAACTTGACTTCTTCTTTTCCTATATGGATGACTTTTTTTTCTTCTACTTGTGTGATTTTCTGGCAAGGACCCCCAGGACTACATTAGACAGGAGTGGTAAGCATCCTGCTGTAGTTCTGAAGGGGAATGCTTCTAGCTTTTGGCCATTGAGTATGATGCTGGCTGTAGGTTTGTCGTAGATGGCTTGGGTTATTTTGAAGTACGTTCCTTTGATGCTTAATTTGTTGAGAGTTTCCATCACAAAGGGACACTGGATTGTATGAAAAGCTTCCTCTGCATCTATTGAGATGATCATATGATTTTTGTTTTTAATTCTGTTTTTATGTGTGTGTATGGTGAATTGCGTTTATTGATTTGCGTATGTTGAACCAGCCCTGCATCCCTGGAATAAAGACTACTTGATCATGGTAAGTTAACTTTTTGATGTGCTGTGAGATTCGATTTGCTAGTATTTTGCTGAGAATTTTTTGTGTCTATGCTCATCATGGATATTGGCCTGTAGTTTTCTTTTTCTGTTGTGTCTTTGCCAGATTTTGGTATCAGAGTGACACTGACTTTGTAGTATGAGTTAGGGAGGAATCCCTCCTCAATTTTTTGAAGCCATTTCCATAAGATTGTTACCAGCTCTTCTTTGTATGTCTGGTAGAATTCAGCTGTGAATCCATCTGTTCCAGGGCTCTTTTTGGTTGGTAGATAATTTTTATTACTGATTCAATTTTGAAAATTGATATTTGTCTATTTGAAGTTTTTATTTCTTCCTTTGACTGACTCTACTCAGTCTTTGGAGTTTGTGTGTTTCCAGAAAATGTATCCGTTGTCTCTAGATTTTCTAGTTTATGTGCATAGAGGTATTCACTGTGGGATCAGCTGTAATGTCACCCTTGTCATTTCTGATTGCACTTGCTTGCATCCTCTCTCTTTTTTTCTTCATTAATCTAGCTAGTGATGTGTCCATCTTGTTTACCCTTTCAAAGAACAACATTTGGTTTTGTTCATCCTTTGTATAGATTTTTGGGTCTCAACTTTATTCAGTTTACTCTGATTTTAGTTAATTTTTTTCCTCTAATACTTTTGGGGTTAATTTTTTCTTGTTTTTCAACTTCCTCCAGGTGATCTTAGATTTTTAGGTTCAGATGTTTCTAATTTCTTAATGTAGGCATTTAGTGCTATAAACTTTCCACTTAACATTACGTTCACTGCATACCAGAGATTTAGGTATGTTGTGTCTCTGCTTTCATTTACTTCTAATTTTTTTTTTAATTCTTGCCTTAATTTCATAGTTTACCCAAGGGTCATTCAAGAGTAAGTTATTTTATTTCCATGCAATTGTGTGGTTTTGAGAGATACTCTTGATATTGATTTATATTATTATTATAAAGTGACCTGAGAGTATGACTGGTATGATTTTAAGTTTTTAAATTTATTGAGACTTGCTTTGTGGGCAAGCACGTGATCAATCTTTGAGTATGCTGTGTGTGTAAATGAGAAGAATGTATATTCTGTGGTTGATGGGTGGAGTTCCCTGTAGACGTCTAGTAGGTCCAATTGGTCAAGGGTCAAATTTAAGTACAGAATTTCTTTTGTTAGTTTTCTGCCTTGATCTCTCTACAACTGTCAGTGGTATGTTGAAGTCCCTCATTATTATTGTGTGGCTAAGTCTTTTTGTAGGTTCAAAAGTATTTGTCTTATGGATCTGACTGCTCCAATGTGAAGTGCATATATATTTAGGATAGTTAAGTCATCTCGTTGGATTGAAGCCTTTATCATTATGTAACGGCCTTCTTTGTCCTTTTTTACTGTAATTGGTTAAAGCTGATATGAAAACAGCTGATATGAAATATAAAAATAGCAACTCTGTTCTTTTTTGTTTTCCGTTTGTATAATAGATCTTTCTCCAACTCTTTACCTTGAGTCTATGGGTATTACGGTTGAGATGGGTCTCAGCAGATGAATGTGTATTTTATTGTTATTTTTTGAGACAAAGTCTTGCTCTGTCACCCAGGGTGGAGTGCTGTGGCATGATCTCAGGCTGACTGCAATTTCCGACTCCCGGGTTCAAGCGATTCTCCTGTCTCACCCTCCCCAGTAGCTGAGATTATAGGCCTGCACCACCACACCTGGCTAATTTTTTGTATTTTCAATAGAGACGGAGTTTCTCCATGTTGGTCAGGCTGGTCTCAAATTCCTGACCTCAAATGATCTGCCCGCCCCAGCCTCTCAAAGGGCTGGGATTACAGGCCTGAGCCTTCTCACCCCGCTGGTCTTGTTTTGTTTTTGTTTTTGTTTTTTGAGATGGAATCCCACTCTGTCACCCAGGCTGAAGTGCAGTGACATAATTTTGGCTCACTGCAACCTCAGCCTCCCGGGTTCAAGCGATTCTCCTGCCTCAGCCTCCCAAGTAGCTGGGATTACAGGCATGTGCCACCACGCCCAGCTAATTTTTGTATTTTTAGCAGAGACGGGATTTCATCATGTTGGCCAGGCTGCCCTGGAACTCCCTAACCTCAAGTGATCCACCCGCCTTGGCCTCCCAAAGTGATGGGATTACAGGCATGTGCCACCACGCCCAGCTAATTTTTGTATTTTTAGCAGAGACGGTTTTCATCATGTTGGCCAGGCTGCCCTGGAACTCCCTAACCTCAAGTGATCCACCCGCCTTGGCCTCCCAAAGTGCTGGGATTACAGGCGTGAGCCACTGTGCCTGGCCCGGTCTTTGTTTGTTTGTTTCCAACATGCCACTTGGTGCCTTTTAAGTGGAGCATTAGGGCCAGGAGTGGTGTTGCACACCTGTAGTCCAAGCACTTTGGGAGGGCAAGGCAGGCGGACCATTTGAGATCGGGAATTTGAGACCAGTCTGGCCAACATGGTGAAACTCTACCTCTACTAAAAATACAAAAAATCGCCAGGTTTGGTGGTGGGTGCCAGCAATCTCAGCTACTCGGGAGGCTGAGGCATGAGAATCCTTTGAACCCGGGAGGCAGAGGTTGCAGTGAGTTGAGATCATGCCACTGCACTCCAGCCTGGGCGACAGAGTGAGACTCTGTCTCAAAAAAGAAAAAAAGGTCGGGGGCGGGGTTTGGGGAGGCATGAGAAGGATTTACATTCAGAGTTAATTTTGATATCTGAGGTTTTGATTTGATTGTGAAGTTGTTAGCTGTTTGATCGCTTCTACTGTGTAGTTCCTTTCAAGGGTCTGTGGGTTATGTACCTAGGTGTAGTTTTGTGGTAACAGGTATCATTCTTTTGTTTCTGTGATTAGAAATTCCTTTATAAACTTTTGTAAAGCTGGCCTAGTGGTAATGAATTTGCTTAGCACTTGCTTATCTGAAAAATGTTTTATTTCTCCTTCATTTATAAAGCTTGGTTTGGCAAGTTATGAAATTCTTGGCTGTAGTCCCCTTTCTTTGAGAATGCTGAAAATCGGCCCCCAGTCTCTTCTGGCTTACAGGAGTTCTACTGAGATGTCTGCTGTTAACTTGACAGGTTTCCTTTGTGTGCAATCTGGCCTTTTTCTCTAGCTGCCTTTAAGATTTTTTCTTTAGTGTTCGCCTTAGACATTCTGGTGACCACTTACCTTGGTGGTGTTCATTTTGTATAGCATCTGGCCAGTGTTCTCGGGCGTTTTTGTTTTGAATGTCTACTTCTCTAGCAAGGTTAGGAAAATGTTCTTGGATTATTTCCTCAAATACATTTTTCGGGTTGTTCACTTTGTCTCCTTCTCTCTCAGAAATGTCAACAATTCATAGTTTGGGTTGCTTTACATAATCTTATATTTCTCAGAGACTTTGTTCATTTAAAAATTTTTTTCTTTATTTTTATCTGACTGGATTAGTTCAAAAGACTGGTCTTTAAGCTCTACAATTCTTTCTCCTGCTCAGTCTAGACTATGGATAAATCTTTCAGTTGTGTTTTAAAATTCCTTAAGTGAGGTTTCCAATTCTAGTAGCTCTGATTCATTTCTTTTTAAGATGTTTACCTCTTCCTTTATTTCCTGGATTGCTTTAGAGGTTCTTTTGTATTGATTTTCAGCTTTGACTTGGATCTTGTTTGAATTTTCTGCAATCCATGCTTTGAATTATCCATCAGTCATCTCTTTGCCTCCATTTCAGCTAGAGACCTAGATTGCTAGAGACCTGGAGTGAGCCTTTGGTGGTATCACAACATTCAGATTTTTTATGATGGCAGAATTATTATGCTGGTTCTTTCTCATCTGGAGGTTGTTTTAGGTAGTGTCTTTTGTCTTGGCTTCTATAGTCCTATGCACTTTTGATGGAAGGTTTTGTATTAGGCTGTGCAGTTTGACCTACAGGCCAGTGTATGGCGTTTGCTGGTGAGAGCCAGCTGTCACACAAGCAGGTGGGTTTGGACCTGATCTCTGTTACTGTGAGGCACTGTCCTGTTGTTTCCCGTGATAGGTGATGGGCTAGTGGGATGTCTAGCTCCCTGAGCTTCCTTCCTACGGGAAGGGGGGGATACAGTTCAGTGGAGCTGGAGCCCCTGGATTACTCACAAATATCCTGATGGCAAGTGCAAGCACCAGCCCTAAAGAGGATGGCTGGGAGGAGCTCCTGGTGTAGTGCACTGAGGTTTTTGTTAGGCTGGTGGTTGGTAAGGGACCTGCGCCGGCTCCCTGTCCTAGACAGCCAGGAATGTGATTTCTTTTATTTTTACCTATCACACCCTGTTCAATGGCTCATGACTCCTAGTTCAGAGGCAGACTATAGTCTATCTCCAGACCACAATGGGGTTGAGAGCCACAGGAAACATCTGTTTTGCTACTCTCCATGGGAGTGGTTTCAAGGCATAACCTCGTCCTACAACCTGACACAGATAGCTTTAATACTTGTCTATTCTCTGATGTGGCAGTGCTACTGTCTCTTGTAAAAGGTTTCCACATTTGATCCCATGCTCATGTGTGTTGGTTGTGGTGGTATCAGTTGATTGGGTCAGCCCAACCTCTGGCCCTAGAGGAAGTGGTCAAGTGCCAACAGAGTTGGAGTGGGGCAGGTTGTTCTCCAGTTCCCAAGTCCCTAAATGGCCCACTAGACAGCTTGCATAAATCCTGGCAGGGCTGCATTTCAGTCGAGCTAGTCCAGGTGCTGGCTTTCAGTGGGATGAACAGGCTGGTCCCCAGGACGCTGGCCAGATTCTCAGGCAGGGGCAGACAGTACGTTTAGGTGATGAGAACCTGAGGGAATGTCACAGATCTTTTGGGGTTGGGTTTTCAGAGGAGTTCTGAACCACAAGTGGAATGATTTGGTGGAGGCAGGATAGCTGTGCTGTGGGCCTTTTACTGGGAAAAGCAGGTCTCCTCAGCTGAGCAATGGAGATTGGCAGCTGTGGAGCATGTGACACACTCACACTTCCCTTCCATCTAAGCACTGTTGAGGTTAACTGTTGGGAGCATGCAGAGGTGCCCAGCATTGTTACCTCTAGGAGTTTTGCTCCAGAGGAACACAGAGGCACAACCAACCATACTGGTCAGGCAAGGGTAAGACTGTTGCACTGGAAGCCCAAGCCAGTGAGCCTTACCTAACTAGAAGCAGCAGGGGCAGGGGGTTTCACAGTCTTCATCCTGTGTGATTCCCAGGGAAATACAGAACTATGCCTGCCCACAGAGTTCAGGCAGGGACTGGATTGCTGCACTGGAAACCCAAGTTGGCAAGCCTTGTCTGGCTAGGAGCAGTGGGAGAAAAAGGTCACATGGTCTATCATCCAGAAGGTTCCTCAGGGAACATAGAGCTGTGCTTTCCCACAGAGCCCAGGTCGGGGCAGGTTCACTGCACTGGATGCCAGAGTTGAACCTCACCTGGTGAAGAAGAGTGGGGTAGTCTGGTCACTCCTCTTCATCATGACTGCTTCCTCTATCAGGGCTACAACAGCCGCAGTCAATCTACTCAGGGATCCAGGGCCTGCAGGGCTCCATGTGTGCTTGAGTAATGCCTCTGCAAAAACTCCAGGCAGCTCTCTGGAGGTCTGGGGGAGTTATGGGTGTTCTCCCCTGCCCAGGATAGCAAAGGTCTGTGTGGAAAATATGAATTCTCTGGGGACTCTCAATCACTCACCTTTTCCCCATGTTAGGGAACATCACTTGGCTCCACTTTAGTCCCAGAGAGGTGGTTTCCTGGCTTCATACCTCTCTGTTCTCTGTGCGTCCCTTACTTCCTTAGTGAATCCTGACATGGTCTTTTAGAAGATCCAGTTGAAGAGCTAGTATTTACTTGCCACTTTGTTTCCTCTCCATGTGAATGGTGCACACTAGCTGCTTTTAGTCAGCCATCTTGAACCTATCTTCTTGATTCTAGAATTTAATTACTACGTTAAAAATGAAGAAGAATGTTAAATTAACAACCTAATATAACAATATGAAGAATTTGAACAAAAGAACAAACTAAACCAAGTTAACAGAAGAAAGGAAAGGAAAGAGCAGAAATAAATGAAATAAAGAATAGAAAAATCAATAATATAAAATATGGTTCTTTGAAAAAAATAAAATTGACAGACCATTAGCTAAGAGAAAAGACTAAAATAAATAAAATCAGAAATAGAAGAGAAAACATTAAAACCACTGGCACAGAAATTAAAACACACACACACACACAAATAACTATTATGAACAGCTCAAGTATACAGCAAAAAGCTGGACAACATAGAAAAAATTCATAAATAGAAATGTACAACTTACCAAGAATCAATCAAGGAGAAATAGCCTGAAAATTCCAATAACAAATAAGAAGATTAAATAGTTATCAATACATCTGTACAATGGAAACCATAAAACACTGATGAAATAAATTGAAAAATAAAGAAAAAAGAAAGATATTCTATGTTCATGAATTGGAGAAATTAATATTTTCAAAATGTCCATATTACCCAAACTGATTTATAAATTTAATATAATTCATCAAAATACAAATGACTTCTTTACAGAAATAAAAACACAATCATAAAATTTGTTTGGAACTACAAAAGACCCAAAATAGCCAAAGTAATCCTAAGGGCAAAAAAGGGACATAGCTAGAGCACATTGCATGACTTCAAAATACACTACAAAGTTATAGTAACCAAACAAACATTGTACTGACATAAAAACAGACAAATAGACCAATGGAACAGAATAAAGAACCCAGAAATAAATGCATGCATTTTCAACCAAATCATTTTTAACAAAGGCATCGAGAATATACATTGAGAAAAGCACAGTCTCATTAATAAATTGTCCTGGAAAAACAGAATATCTATGTGAAGAATAAAACTCTATTCCTACCTCTTACCATACAAATCAAATAAAGATGGATTAGGAACTGAAATACCTGAAACTATAAAACTACTAGAAGAAAATATCAAGAAAATGCTTCAGACCTTGGTCTAGGCCAAGATTTCCTGAGTAAGAAAGCAAGGCACCCAAAACAAAAATTAATAAATGGCATTGCAGCCAGGTGTGGTGGCTCACACCTGTAATCCCAGCATTTTGGGAAGCCGAGGTGGGTGGATCACCTGAGGTCAGGAGTTTGAGACCAGCCTGTCCAGCATGGTGAAACCCCATCTCTACTAAAAATACAAAATTAGCTGGGCATGGTGGTGTGTGCCTGTAATCCCAGCTACTCAGGAGACTGAGGCAGGAAAATGGCTTGAACCCAGGAGATAGAGGTTGCAGTGAGCCGAGATCGCGCCATTGCACTCTAGTCTGTGTGACGAGAAACTCCGTCTCAATAAATAAATAAATAAATAAATACATAAATACATAAATAATTAGGGCTGCATCAAGCTAAAAACTTCTGTACAACAAAGGAAGCAATCAACAGAGGGAAGAGACAACCCACAGGATGGGAAAAAATATTTGCAAACTATTGATCTGATAAGAGATTACTAACTATGTAAGGATCTCAAACAACTCTATAGGAAAAATCTAATAATCTAATCTTAAAAGTGGGCAAAGTATTTGAACAGACATTTCTCAAAAGATATACAAATGGAAAACAGGCATATGAAAAGGTGCTAAACACCATTAATCATAGGAGAAATGCAAATTAAATCTACAATGAGATATCATCTTATCCCAGTTAAGATTGCTTTTAGACAGGTAATAACAAATGCTGATGAGAATGTGGAGAAAAGGGAATCCTTGTACACTGTTGGTGGGAATGCAAGTTAGTACAACCACCATGGAGAAGAGTAGAATGGTTCCTCAAAAAACTAAAAATAGAACTACTACATGATCCAGCAATCCCTCTGCTAGGGATATACCAAGAAGAAGGTAAACCAGTATATCAAAGAGATATCTATGCTCCCATGTTTATTGTAGCACTATTCACAATAGCCAAGATTTGGAAGCAACCTGAGTGTCCATCAACAGATGAATGGATAAAGAAAATGTACATTATGTATCACAGTTTTTTGTATATTCAGCTATAAAAAAATAACCCGTCATTTGCAAAAACATATATGAAACTGGAGGACATTATAATAAGTGAAATAAGCCAGACACAGAAAGATAAAAATTGCATGTTCTCTCTAATATTTAAGAGCTTAAAAATTGGTCTCATGGAGATAGTGAATAGAATAGTGTTTACCAGAGGCTAGGAAGGGTAATGGGGCAGCAGAGGAGATATGAAAAGATTAGAAAATGGTTACAAAATTACAGGTAGGTAAGAGAAATAAATTCTTGTCTTCTATAACATTGTTAGATAACTATAATAAACAATAATCTCTTGACTTTTTTCAAATAGTTAAAAGAGAGAATTATGAATATTACCAACACAAAGGAATGATTAAGTTTGATGTGATGGATATGCTGATTACTCAGATTTGATCATTACACATTGTATGCTTTTATCAAATTATCACAGGTATGTCATAAATATGTACAGCTATTTTGTTTCCATAAAGATTAAAGATAACAAATGTGGAGAAAAGGAAACACTGTACATTGTAGGTCAAGGTACAAAATGTGAAAAGTTGGTATAGCCACTATGGAAAGCAGAATGGAGATTCCTCAGAAAACTAAAAATAGACCTACCATATGATCTAGACTCCTCACTTATTGGTATATATCTGCACTCCTGTGTTCATTGCAGCATTATTCACAATAGCCAAGATCTGGAAGTATCCTAAATGTCAATTGTTTAATAAGTGGATAAAGAAAAGTTGGCATATATACACAATGAGGTACTATTTAGCCTTGAAAAGATGGAAATCCTGCCATTTGCCATCAACATGGATAAACCTGGAGAACATAATCCTAAGTGAAAAAGAAAAAAAAAACAGACACAAAAAGACTAATACTACATAAGTGCACTTATATGTTAAGTTTAAAATCATCACATTCATAGAAGCAGAGAGTAAAATGGTAGTTAACAGGGACTAAGGGAGGGCAAAACTGGAGGTATTAATCACAGTATAAGGTTTTGGCTATTAGCAATAAATAAGTTCTAGAGATCTACTGTACGGTATAGTGCTTATAGCTAATAATAATGTATACTTAAAAATTTGCTAAGAAGGCAGATCTTATCATAAGTGTTCTTATCACAAAAATAATAATAGTGGCTATAAGAAAGCAGAATAAAAGTTTTGGAGGTGATGGATACGTTTATGGCATAGATTGTAGTGATGGTTTCACTAATGTATACTTATCTCCAAGCTCATCAAGTTGCTTACAATATTTATGTACTGCTTTTTGTGTGCCAAAAAAAAAAAAAAATCTAAAAAATTGTAAATAAAGTGCAATGGAAAAATAACACCATAACATATTTCACTGATGGAACCATCAAAAAAAACAAGAAAAATAGAAGAGGAAAACAGCATGAAAAATAATATAAATGAAAAACCAAAAATAAGTTAGTAAAATAAATTTATCAGTAATTAATAAATATAAACTAAATAAATGTAATAGTTAAAAGAGATGGTCTAAAAGTTCGCATTAATTATCAGAAGGATTTTAAGGCACAAGATTACCACGAGTAGAGAGGGCCACCAATTACTTTATAAAAAGTCTCTGTAGAAGCATGCTAATGCAAAAATTATACACATCCAATAACATAGACATGGCTTTATATCTTCAAATATTTTATCAAAAAGGCACAAAATTAATTCTGTATATCAAAATTTTTATAAAATTACTTAATAGTATTTTAGTAACAACATATTTTTAAAAATGTTTATGGGCAACTATAACTGTTTTAAATTTATACACAGATCATTAATTTATAAATATAGTATTATTTAAATCTTTAAAGTAAACTTTTTAAATTGACTTTACTATTTTTATATGTAGTAGATAACAAATATTTCTAGCAAGCCCTTTGAATAATATAAATTAAATCAAATTGGAGAAAAAATCCTAAAATAAGCACTCTGCATATAATTTTAATTAATAAAATTTTTAAAAATTGTTTTTCCTACATTTACAAATTAAATATATTTATTTTTTAGGCATTTCAGAAGCATAACAGAAAATTCACAACTGTAAAAAAAACTCTCAAAACTTTTAAAAGAATTTTTATAAATATAAACAAATTCATAAAATAAATTTATATAGTCTAATACTGGTAACAGAAAAATCAAATCATGTTAGATATTTTAGCTCAAAATAAAGCATCACATATGCCACATTCTTCTAAATGTAGTAAGAATTCTCAATAAAAAAGGATACTGATTATTCTAAACTTATAATGAAGTATTCGTGATCTATACCTGACTCCTCTTATTATGTCTTAACCTCATTACCTCAACTGACTTTCTAAGGGGGATGCTGGGGTAATTTGGTAGAAAATCAAAAACCATTGTGCTGTTTGCTGTAGTAGTTTGCTGTAATTATCGGTGTTTGTTTATCATTCATAAATTTGAAGCCACTTTACAGGAACTTGTTCTATGTCCTAGGGTCTGCCCAGGTACTTAATGGACAGCAGAACTATTTTTTAAAACCACCTGATTTGGTAAGTAGAATTCCCCACTTGTACTTACTGCCTAATTGAATTCTTCTTCGTTCCCATAATCTTATTTGGCTACAGTTCTAAAGATATTTTAATGTCTTCTCCTCTGGCTTGGCCACAATTCTAAAGATGTTTTCATGTCATCCATTGGATTTTAAAATTCTTCACATGTTTACATATATTTGTCTTCAATAGCTGTAACTGTAATGTCAGGCTGATGACATTTTAGAAATAATAAAGGAAGGATATTTATGAGTAGCATAAAAAATAACTGGTATTTGTTTAATTTTGCTCAATTATAGACTGCTTCTTTCCAAACCAGTGAAGTTGGCTTTCGGGTCCTTTTCTTATTAAATAATAGCAAGTTAAACATGTTATTCATATAGGAAACTACAAATGTCAGCAATCTTTTGATTCTTTAGGCAATATCCATGCCAAATTTCAACGGAGACCCTGAGTTACAGTATAGAATACTGGGAGGAATTTGGGTTTTACTGTTAGTCCTAGTACCAGATTGATTACTAATCTGGCTCTATCAATTACCACCTGTGTGACTTGGAACTTGTTACTTAGTTTTTAGATATCTGTTTCCAAATATTTATATCTGGAATAACTAAACATACCACACTGACTTGCCGTGAAAATAAAATTGCCTCACATCTCTGAAGTACATTTTAAAGTGCCTGACCCTTAGATAATTGTTATTTGATTGTAGTTGCAATTAGTTAATCTATCAAAATAATCTTCATGGAAGGGTGGAGTGGTTCATGACTAATTAAATGAAGCTTCTAAAAGAGATTTTACTTTTAAGCTCACTAGTGAAAAAAAAAATTTTATATCTGCCATCTTTCATATAGATGTCAAGAACTATGAAGGGTCTGAGAGTTTACACTACATGGAAGCAAAAAAGATAACCTGCCACAAATTTATGGATATTGGGAAAAGAAACCAGATTCCTGCATAAGAGACAAAAGCCAGCTTATTACTCGCAGCAACAGGAGTAGTCAACATTAGATTATTTGCACCAGTTTCCCAAGTCCTAATTCCTACAGGGTGATATGATAAAGTCCAAGTGACGACAGTTCACACAATGAGTTGTGTTACAGGAGAAAACTCCAAGCTTAGGAAATCCCCAATCTTTCATAAGAAGGCTGCTAGCAAACCTGTCCAACAGTTGGACTAGAGAGTCACACTGTCATTGGTAACATACACAGCAAACCAATATGCTCTGTGCTCTAGAAAAAGGCATTCTAATTTCCAAGGTTGTTTATAAGCATCTTTGAAAGATATTTTTATATATATAATATCTGTATTATATAAATTATCTGTAGTATATATAATATAACTATATATACCTAATTATATATATATATCTGTATTATAAAAGTATATATATCTGTATTATATATATAATATAACTATATATATATATATATAGTTTGAACCCAGGAGGCAGAGGCTGCAGTGAGCCGAGATCGTGCCATTGCATTCCAGCCTGAGTGAAACTCCGTCTCAGAAAAAAAAAAAAAAAATGCCTAAATCCTCATAGATAAGTGTTGATTTGTAACTATATATATAGTAATAACAGTATATATATGTATATATATATATACACACACTGTTACAGAAGATATAGAAATAGGCAAAAAATTTATAGAGAATTGTCTTCCAAAAGTAGAATAATGAAAACTTTGGCCCTTCTAATATAACGTATAATTGATTATTGGATTTGTGGTCATTTTAAAGGATTCAGGGTACTGAATTTCACCAAAATAACGTATTCATTAGTCATGGTACAAAATACCACTTTCTGAGAATGTCTTAATAGTGTTTCAGAGAGAAGAGGGGAAAGTTGGAATATTTATGAGGTGTTGGAGGTGTAATTTAAAGCATGTATTTCAATGTGAGGGCTCAATGAGGATTAGTTAATGAAATAATAGTTTAGAATTTGTGGGCAGGGCAAGGCTAAGGTTTTGAGGAAAAGATTCTAAGTGAGTGCTGTTTATTGAAAGTGCAGCAGTGTGATGTTCATCTAAAAGAGGCTTTCAGTAGTTCCTGAAAGAACAAATAATGTTATTTGCATCTTTTATCTTTCTGAGAAAGGGTTTTCTGGAGCAGCAAGGATAAGTTTAAGATTAGTGAAGTCATGCTAATATGGACTTTTAGCTGTGTGGGTATAAATTGTGTTGGTTCTCAAAACAAATGACCTTTAGCCAATGCCTTCCATTACTTGTACATGAAACTAAACTCGTGATGAGAATGGCAGAGGTGCACTCATTTTTAGTAGACTAGATTTACATCTTGAATACAAAGATGAGAAGAAGAGTAAAATATACCTAATGAGGAAATAAAAAATTGACCATACTTTGCAAGGAAATGACTTATTTAAGAGAAAAATATATGTAGAGAAAAATAAACTGAAAAATGTTGAACACTCAGGAAATATTGTTTGCAGAACACTAGGAATGAATATAAAGATAACGTCATCTTAATATGAAAATGGAATGTCTCTCTCTTGAGTTTAGGACAATGGGGAAAACAGTTCCTAACATAAAACCTGTTCTTCTAAGTATATATAGATGTTTATTCTTCTTTAAAAAAATACTCGATTAGATAGTATTTTGAAGGCGACTACCATAATTCACAATTTGCAGCCAGCTGAAAATTCATTTGTGTCTTCAGATATTATTTTTATTTCCTCCCCTATTTTCTTTCTGTATATATCTAATTTTTTCAAAATCAAAAGTTTCATAAGGCTGGGCGCGGTGGCTCACGACTGTAATCCCAGCACTTTGGGAGGCCGAGGCGGGTTGATCACCTGAGGCCAGGAGTTCGAGACCTGGCCAACATGGCAAAATTCTGTCTCTACTAAAAATACAAAAAGTTAGCCAGGCATGACAGCAGATGCCGGTAATCCAGCTATTCTAGAGGCTGAAGCAGGAGAATTGTTTGAACCCGGGAGGCGGAGGCTGCAGTGAGCCAAGATCATACCATTGCCTTCCAGCCTGGGCCACAAGAGCAAAACTCCGTCTCAAAAAAAAAAAAAAAAAAAAAAAAAAAGCCTAAATCCTCATAGACAAGTGTTAATTTATAAGCAAAAAGGGTCATCAAGATTAGGAAAGATTAGGATGAAGTTCAAGAGAAGGAATAAGAGAGAAACCACTTGAGAAAACAAAAGTCTTCTTTTCCAATAAGATTTCCCAAAGCCTGTCACTCTCAAAGGTTTATCTGGAAAATAAAACTTCTTATTGAAATACACACTCAGATTTATAAACCACTTTGTTTCATATGACAAAATTAGATCTCTATAAACAATGAACTTCCATTTCCTAGGAATAATTATTCAAAATGATAAAAAAGTGGCAATAATATGTATAAATTTAAAATATTTAATTTTCATTTTCCTCAAATAGAATTGATGTCTGTTCATACTGTTTGTTGAGCTGCTTTTTTCTTGCATTCTTGTTTATATCTGTTTTTCCATTGAGTATTTTCACTGGGTGCATTACTAGGAAACTCATTATTATAACGCATCATCCCTCCATCCTCCAAACTCACCCATATGCATAATGAAGATAATATTTAATATTCATCATTCAGATTCTTTTGTCCATCAAAATTGTTTCCAATTTGGATATGGTAAATAGTGCAACAATATCTAACGGTGAGGACAAATGAGATCAGAAAGAAAAATGGAATAACTCCTTCGTAAGGAGCTAAGATCCAGTGGAAAATTAAGATGCGACATTTTAAAGCAGTAGATTGAGAGCTAGTAACAACAGCAATTGAGGACCAATCACTTAGATACTGTGATCACTGAATTGAATTGTCACAGAAAATTTGGGCCGATTTTGAAGTGGAAAACTGGACAGATCAATGTAAAAACCTTAAAAACTATTGTGTGACTTTCAAGATGAACACTTACTCTAGGTAGAAACACAGGTATTTTCTGTTTCTTCATGAAATATGTCTGACAAAAATGCAATTTAACTTCTAAGGGAAGGCACTACCAAGATTACACATTAAATGTTCCTCAGCCCAGGGTCCACCTGAAAGTACAACCTGAGTCAAAGCTCCTATGAGGCTAGTCTATTTCAGAATATGATCTCAGGTAAGAGGTGGAATCCGGGGCAAAGAGAGTGAAACAGGGAAGGAGAAAATGTCGATGTAAGAATGTATTATTAAGCTGGATGCCCTCTAAGCAGCTGAGTTGTTTCCACTTGGACCTCCAGAGGAGCCTTATACAGTGTACGGTTGTCCAAGACAAAACAAGAATATTTCTCAAACATCCATCTGTCCTCATTGGCCCAGGGTTGCCCTGTTGACATAAATCTCTTGTACTTCCAGGTTTCCAAAGAAGTCCAATTGGCTAACATTCTTTATATGGGTCTCAGAGAAACTCCAGGGCAGGAATCACACTATAAGATCCTCAACCTGAGGCAAGGTGCTATAAGATTACATTTTTAAAAACAGGTTGAGGTTTGCATGGATTGGGTTACTGTGACCAGGGGATTTTTAAGTAGTTTGCAAGGTGTGCTCAAGACAAAGGGTAGTTAGCATGAATAATCATAATATATTGAATCTAGGTAGGGCTTAGATGTTGTCTGATAGACAATTTTAGAGGGAGATTTAATTATTTTAATGTTTCCAAAAAAATGGCATACTAGTATATTTGATTCGAAAAACCAATTGCTTTTAAAGACCCTTATCCTTTACATAATAAAATTATGTTTAAGAATAATAATGAAATTTAATTTATAATGATAATGGCCAAAAAAGAAAAGCAGATAGGGAATTTTTTTATAGAATTTGGTATAATTTTGCCAGTAAAATTCTATAAAATAAATATTACAGTATAAAAAGGAAAAAAACAAAGGCAATAATTAAAACACAAATACAAATTTATATTTTGATAAAAGGTAAACATAAAAATCTTATACCTAAATTCTGGTTTATTGCAGTAATGAATGATAACAGTACAATTTGGTTTTGAATCTTAGTGTCTATAAACTTGTCAAAATTTTGTAATTTTTTTTTTACATATTAGTGTTCAATAAATGGTATAGCCTAATTGTTCAATTTATCTTCATAAGTGATTGGTAAAAATATTTTAAATAAATTTCTAATTTCAAATTTTTTTTTTTACTTAACTGACACAAGTTATCTTAAAGGAAAGTTCTTAAATATAATAATTACTTTGAGAGAGAGTCATAAAAATAAATCTTGCAATAAAAATCTCATTTTGTTTATTATTTTATTTCTTCAGACTTTATTCTAACAGATTTTCAATATTTCTATAGTCCAAAAA
The DNA here is from genome assembly GCF_000001405.40 of Homo sapiens. Classification (NCBI taxonomy): domain Eukaryota; kingdom Metazoa; phylum Chordata; class Mammalia; order Primates; family Hominidae; genus Homo; species Homo sapiens. The sequence goes on along the minus strand of NW_015148967.1, from coordinate 113,895 downwards.
TATCTTCAACAAAGAATTCATTATGCATTTCTATCACATTTGATAAAAATATGTTTGATGTTTTCTTCAAAGAAAAATTACTAAATGTTTATATACATTGATTTCATTTGATCTATTGATTTAGAATGGTTGTTCAGCTGTTAGTCAAATCAGTTGAGACATTCAAACATTGTCTATTTGATTTCTTCTGACAACGGAGCATCACCATACTTTATAATTTTTTTAATTTTTTCTTCTAAATTTTGTTCTTTCTATACAATTTTTTTGCAAAATTAATAACTTTCTTCATTATTTCTTTTTCTAATATTCATTGGATTAATTTAAGAGTTTGATGTTTCACTATAACTTTTTCAAGTCTTACTCTGGCTGTTTGCAAATGTTTTTCTGTTTTATTAATATTTGCATTTTAAATTTTACCTTTAAAAAAAAGGTACCACAGAAAAGCAACATGCAACAGAGAACAACATCTGAGCTGCTCCTCCTGTATCCACATTTTCCTTTGGATGACCCAGTACTTCATAGTTTGGAATTAACGTCCAAAAATTGTCTGTCCTTTGCCTAGAGCCTCATAATGAGTATTCTATCTATTTAGATAGCCTTTATATGGCTGTGCTTATTTTAGTAGCATTTTCCACTGATGAGGTAAGACAGTAAAAAATGATTTTATAAAAAACAATTTTCACAGTACATTACATTGAGGAAATTCTTCTAAAAGAGGCTTATATGACTTTTAGCCTCAACACCATCAGTCGTGGTGGTGGTGTATCCTTGACTATCGTGCAGTATGATAAAAGTCTTAAGAATGCTGTCAAGAATTTTAAACTGTTTCACATTTATAATATTTATAACTATCTGTTTTCAACATTATGCCCCAAAAGATGAATGTAATTATTTGTATCAATCTCTTTTCAGAAAAAAATAGCATACTAATTTTTACAAAATATTTTTTCAAATTTTGGCTATTATTTGAAAGTAATATCCTCAATTTTAATATGATGTCCTTTATTTGTTGATAATAAAATGTTTTTGAGACCAGGGAAAGGAAGGTTTTGTTTGGTTGAAAGCGTAATTAAGTCCAAAGTATGATGTAACCATCATTTTTTTCTTTTTACATACATATATACATAAAATGAAAAATAAAATGCTGATTTTTCAGTTTAAAAGAAGAAACGATTTTTAGTTCTGTTGCCAAAATCTTCTATTTTATGAGAGCTATCATTTAGATATTCAAGTTCAGGGATTTTGGTTTTTTTTTTTTTTCTAGGTCTACAGTCATTTGTAAAGTTGAATATTCTAGCTTTTGTCTAATTATCTGCAAATAGATAAAATAATTCTTTAATAAAAAATGTAAATTTCCCACATTTTCCACTGTATGATAAATATAAAACTGTAAAGTTGAAAAAAGTTGCCTTTTTTTTGTATTTTTCTTATTCTCACTCAACTGCATAACAATGTTCATTACAAAGTAGTTCACCCTTTTTAACTAGATTAATTTGCAATTACCTAGAACCCTTATTGATCAATTAGTGGCATTAAAAATATTATAATTTCACTTGTTATGTCTTCGTTTACCTCTTGCTCTTGGCAGTTGCAATCATCACTTTCTTCTATTATTATTATTATTATTACTATTAATATTTATTTGTTCTTGATAACACTTATTTTATCTTCAACATTATCAGAAATTAGAGAAAATAATTTATTGTCATCTTTTAATTGTATCATTTAAGTATCATCCTTTTTTTTTTTGTATGGATACTTTGAATGTGCAAGGTTGAACATCCTTCCAATTTTTATGAACTATAAACATTATTTCATTTGGAAAATATTACACCTTCCAAAATAAACTCAGGTAATAATTCAAATACTCTCATTTTTACTTCTTTTTCCCTTTGTTGGAGTGCAATGGATTGATTTCGCTCTTCACTTGAAATAATAGCATTGGCCGGGCGTGGTGGCTCACGCCTGTAATCCCAGCACTTTGGGAGGCCGAGGCGGGCGGATCACGAGGTCAGGAGATCGAGGCCATCCCGGCTAAAACGGTGAAACCCCGTCTCTACTAAAAATACAAAAAATTAGCCGGGCGTAGTGGCGGGCGCCTGTAGTCCCAGCTACTTGGGAGGCTGAGGCAGGAGAATGGCGTGAACCCGGGAGGCGGAGCTTGCAGTGAGCCGAGATCCCGCCACTGCACTCCAGCCTGGGCGACAGAGCGAGACTCCGTCTCAAAAAAAAAAAAAAAAAAAAAAAAAAAGAAATAATAGCATTTTAAATTGATGTGGATATCTCACTGAAAATTCTTTATAAAACCTACAATAATTATGAACCAGTTACTAATCCAGGCTTCTTCAAATACCTGCAGAAAGAAAACAACAAAAGCACAAGTATATAATCAATAGTTTTATGTTTAGAGAATATTGTGAACTTTGATTCTTTGATTATAATGTGACATTAAAATATGTTATTTAAATTATTTTTGTAAGTTAAAACATAAAGTGTTCAATTTGGGTAACTACAGTACTGAATTGCTCCACTGATGTGATATTTAATTTTATAATTTTTTTAACTTTTATGTTTGGGGATACATTATATAGGTAAATTCGTATTGTGGGGGTTTGTTGTACAGATTATTTCATCAGGCAGGTAATATGCCTAGCACCTATTGGTTATTTTTCCTGGTCCTCTTTCTCCTCTCACTCTCCACCATCTGGTAGGCCTCAGTGTCTGTTCCTCCCCTCTATGTGTCCATGTGTTACCATCATACAGCTTCCATTATAAGTGAGAACATGTGCTATTTGGTTTTCTGTTCCTGCATTAGTTTTCTAAGGATAATGGCCTCCAGCTTCATCCATGTTTCTGTGAAGGACATGATCTTGTTCTTTGTTATGACTGCATAGTATTCCATGGTGTATATGCACCACATTTTCTTTATCCAGCCTATCATTGATGGACATTTGGGTTGACTCTATGTCTTTGCTACTGGGAATAGTGCTGCAATGAACACACATGTTTATGTGTCTTTATGAGAGAACAATATATATATAATATATTTGGATATATACCTATTAATAATTACTGGGTCGAATGGTAGTTTTGTTTTTAGGTCTTTGAGGAATCACACTGCTTTCCACAATGGCTGAACTAATTTACACTCCCACCAACAGTGTAGAAGTGTTCCTTTTCCTCTGTAACATCACCAGCATTGTTATATTTTTACTTTTTAGTAATAGGCATTCTGGCTAGTGTGAGACGGTATCTAATTGTGGTTTTGATTTAAATCTCTCTGATGATGAGTGTGGTTGAGCTTTTTATTTTTCCATAAGCTTCCTGACGGCATGTATGTCTTATTTAGAAAAGTGTCTGTTCGTGTCCTTTTCCCACTGTTAAATAGTGTTGTTTTCTTCCTTGTAAATTTGTTTAATTTCCTTATAGATACTGGACATTAGATCTTTTTTTGATGCATAATTTGCAAAGATTTTCTCCCATTCTGTAGGTTTTTACTCTGTAGATAATTTCTTTTGCTGTACAGAAACTCTTTAGTTTAATTAGATCCCATTCGTCAATTTTTGCTTTTGTTGCAATTGCTTTTAGTGTCTTTGTCATGAAATCTTTGCCCATTCTTATGTCCAGAATGGTATTGACTAGGTTATCTTACAGAATTTTCGTTTTATGGTTTTGCATTTTACATTTAAGTCTTTAACCCATCTCGAGTTGATTTTTATATATGATGTAAGAAAGTGCTCCAGTTTTTATCTTCTGCATTATGGCTAGCCGGTTTTCCCAGCCCTGTTAGAAATGACAAAGCAAATATTTTCTGTTTTTAAACAGGAAAAGCAATAAAATGAAATAAAAAATTTAATTTTAAATGTAAGTTCAAATCAATAATAGGTTAATTAATTAATTTTAACTTATCAAACAGGAACTGTACACTTCAGAGTTCACGTATTATTTTACTGTATTAAGTTTTAAAACACAAGCACAATTTTCAGTGGTCACATAGAATGACATAATTGAAATAATTTAACTTCCATTTTTTTCACCTATACAATTATACTATCATTGTTTATTTTGTATTTACCATTGAAAAAAACTAATATGTCCAACCATATTGGCTAAGACAAACATTGTACCTGAAGGGAATTCAAATGATTACAACCCATTACAAACTTATTTTAGAAAACAATGACTACAACTGAGTCTGCTTGTTTCAGGGGCCTACCATGTAACTGGGAATTCTCCGAATTAACTTCCACGTGGTGTACAATATCTAATAAGGGACACATATCAAGAAAATATAAATTGAATGTGTATATACATATTTTTAAAATTTAACTCTAAAAACAATTTTTTTGAACTTTATGATAGCTAAACTTTTCTTAGGTAAGAGTATTTTTATTACTGACTGTTTAAATTTTTTGGATCATGAGATAATAAAAATATAGAACTTTTACATAATTTTATTATTTTTATACTTTATCTCCTGCCTTTGCATGTCCTTATCATCTGCTCTCAGGCAGACTGTTACTTCTTCACATCCCATCATATGCTGAAATAGAGGCTTACAATGAATAAAATTTTCTTTAATAGTCAATTCTTTGGACAAACCCAGTACTCATTGATGTAATATCTCTCACTACAGGGAGCTTGTAAGACTGAATTTAGAGAAAATCAGGAAATTCAAGTATTGGGATCAAAAAGTAATGGGAAATGAAAAGGAATGATGGTACCAGGTAATACTCTCAATTTAACAATCAATTTAAGTAGACTAATTTAAGAAGCATGTTTAGGTGTTGTGCAATCAGCTGATATTTTCTAATAGTATCAGGAGAATGCAAAGAAAGATAACACATGGGAATTGTTTCTTGATTGTAGTAAAAATATTTAGAACAAATAGCTGCCATTTTACTCTTAAAATGTCAAATCTATGAAAAGCCAATGCTTGAGAGATCACATGGCAAAAATACTGATCACAATTATAGCTTCAGGTAAGATTTCTTATTCTAGGAGGCAGGATGCAAACTTCTTAATTCTAAGCAATTTCATGTTAAGTTGCAATAGCGGAGGAAATGGAGCAAGATGGCCAAGTAGAAATCTCCAGCAATTGTCCTCCTGCAGGAACATCAAATTGAATAACTATCCAAACAAGAAAGTACATTCATAACAACAACAAAAAAAAACAGATGAGGAATCACAGTACCTTGTTTTAATATCATATCAAAGAAAGAGTCATTGAAGAGGGTAGATATGATATTCTTGAATTGCCAACACCACCCCTAACCCATTCCCCAGGAGTAGTCATGTGGCACAGAGAGGTAAATCTGTGTGCTTGGAGGAGGGAGAGCGCAGTGACTGTGGGACTTTGCATTGGAACTCAGTGCAGTCTTGTCACAGTGGAAAGCAACATGGGGCACAATTCAGCTGGCACCCACAGGGGGAACATTTAGATGAGCCCTAGCCAGAACAAAATTATCTATCCTAGCAGTCAGAATCTGCATTCTGACTAGCCCCAACACTGTGTGCTAAAGCACTTGGGAATTCTCTAGATTAAACTTGAAATAATTCACGTTTAACTGAATTATTAATTGAGGCTTCAAATAAATTTGACAGGCAGTCTAAGTCACAAGGACTTCAATTCCTGCGCAAGTCTTGGTGTTGTGCTGGGCTCAGAGCCAGTGGACTTCACGTGCATGTAATGTAGTGAGACACCAGCCTGGGTGGCCAAGGGAGTGATTGCATTACCTTGCCACCAAAAGACATAGAGTTGCAGAATGGTTAAAAACAAAACAAGTTTCAATAATGTGTTGCTTACAAGAAACACACCTCACCTATAAATATACACATAGACTGAAAATAAAGGAATGAAAAAGATATTCCCTGCTCATTGAAACCAAGAAAGTGCCAGTGTAGCTATACTTATATCAGACAAAATAGATTTAAGAAAAAAAACTATAAAAGGAGATAAATAAGTTTATTATATAATGATAAAGCAATCAATTCAGCAAGAGGATGTAACAATTGTAAATATATTTGTGCCCAACTCTGGGGCACTCAGATGCATAGAGCAAATATTGTTGGAGCTAAAGAGAGAGACAGGCCCCAAGACAGTAATAGCTGGAGACTTCAATACCCTACCTTCAGCATTGGACAGATCATCCAGACAGAAAATTAACAAAGAAATATTCGACTTAATCTGCACTATTGGCCAAATGGATTTAACAAATATTTACAGAACATTTTATCCAATGGCTGCAGAATACCCATTATTCTCCTAAGCACATGAATTATTCTTAAGTATAGAACATATTGTTAGGCAACAAAACAAGTCTTAAAACATTCAAAAATACTTAAATAATGTCAAGTATGTTGTCTGACCACAAGTAATAAAACAAGAAATCAATAACAAGCTGAACTTTGGAAACTGTCTAAACACATGGAAATTAAACAACATGCTCCTGAATGACCAGTCTGTCAATGGGGATTAAGAAGGAAACTGAAAAAATTTTGGAAACAAATGACAATGCAAACACAACATGACAAAATCTATGAAATATAGTGAAAGCAGTACTAAGAGTAAAGTTTATAGCAATAAGTGCCTATATCAAAAAAGTAGCAAAACTGCAAATAAACAATCTAATGATACATCTTAAAGAATTAGAAAAGCAAGAGCAAATCAAACCCAAAATTAGTAGAAGAAAAGAAATAATATAGGATAAATAAATTAAATTAAAATGAAAAAAGTAATATATAATCTAGAAAAACCTACAAACTCCATCAAAAAAAAACTATGTGAACTGATAAAAAAATTCAATAAAGTTGCAGGATACAAAATGAACATATATGCCATTTCTATATGGCAACAGTGAAAAATTTTCAAAAGAAATCAATGAAGTAATCCCATTTACACATAAGTTGCCTGGGAATAAACTTAACCAAAGAAGTGAAAGATCTCTACAGTGAAAACTATAAAACATTGATGCAAATCATTTTACAGAACACACACAAAAGATGGAAAGGCAATCCATGTTCATGAGTTGGAAGAATCAATATTGTTAAAATGTTCATATTACCCAAAGCAATTTACAGATTCAATGTAACCCCCATAAAAATATCAGTGATATTCTTCACAAAAATAGAAAAAATAATCCTAAAATTTATATGGAACCACAAAAGATCCAGAATAGCCAAAGCCATCCTAAGCCAAAAGTACAAAACTGGAAGGATCACATAACATGACTTCAAATTATACTACAAAGATATAGTTGCCCAAACAGCATGGTAGTGGTAAACATACACATAAAATAAGGAAACAGAATATATAATGCAGAAAGAAAGCTATACATCTACAGCGAACTTATTTTTGACAAAGTTGTCAAGAATATACATTGGGAACAGGACAGTCTCTTCAATAAATGGTGTTGGACTAAATATTCTTATGCAGAAGAATGAAGCTAGACCCCTACCTCTTGCCATATACAAAAATCTAGTCAAAATTTATTAAATACTTAAATCTAAAACTTCACACTATGAAGCTACTAATGGAAAACATTGGAGTAGGTCTCCAGGATGCTGTTCTGGACAAAGATTTCTTGAGTTATATCCGCAAAGTATAGGCATCCAAAGCAGAAAATGGACAATAGGATCACATTAAGTTAAAATGCTTATGCACAGCAAATGATACAATCAACACAACTAAGAGACAATCCACAGAATGAGAAAAATATTTGCAAACCATCAATCTCACAAGAGATTAATAATCAGAATATATAAGGATCTCAAACAAGTCTATAGGAAAAAATCTAATAAGCCCTTAAAAATGAGCAAAGGTCTAAATAGACATTTCTCAAAAGATAGACAAATTGCAAACAGGCATATGAAAAGGTGCTTAGCATCATTAATCATCAGAGAAATGCAAATTAATGCTATAATGAGATATCATCTTACCCCAGTTAAAATGGCCTTTATGCAAAAGACAGGTAATAACAAATTTTGGCAAGGATGTGGAGTAAAGGGAGCCCTTTTACACTGTTGCTGGGGATGTAAATTTGTGCAATCGTTATGGAGCGGAGTATGGAGATTCTCAGAAAACTGAAAATAGAACTACCATATGATTCTGCAATCCCACTGTTAGGTATATACCAAGAAGAACGTAAACCAGTATATTGAAGAGATATACACATTCCCATGTTTACTGCAGCACTGCTTACAATAGGGAAGATTCGGAAACAACAGAATGTCCATGAACAGATGAATGGAAACATGGTAAATAAACACAATGGACTACTATTCATCCATAAAAAAGAGTAAGACCCTGTCATAAAAACATTAGACGAAACTGGAGGACATTATGTTAAGTTAAATAAGCCAAGCACAGAAAGACAAACTTCGCAAATTTTTACTCATTTGTGGGAGCTAAAAACTAAAACAATTGAATTCATGGAGACAGAGGGTAGAATGATGGTTATCAGAGGTTGTGATGAATAGTGGATGGGGGATGTGAGGATGGTTAATGGATACAAAAATATATTTATATAAAATGAATAATGAATAAGACCTAGTATTTGATAGCATAATAAAAATTTGTTATACATTTAAAAATAACTAAAAGAGCATATCAGGAATATTTATAACACAAGGAAATAAATGCTTGATGGGATAGATATCCCATTTACCCTGATGTGATAATTATGCATTGTATGACCATTTCAAAATACATCATGTGCCCCATAAACGTACACTCCCATAAAAATTAAAAATAAAAAAGGCAATAGTAGTTGTACCTGTTTCGGCTAAATTTGAGTAGGCAGTTTTGTTTTTTTCTCTTGTAACTAACATACTTCAAATGCACTGACCATGTAGAATATCTGATGAGTGTTCTAATATGATAGCCATTAATGTAGTTACTATTATTATTAATAGCTTTCAGCAACCTATACTTTATGCCAAGACATTCAGTTGATTTTATCAGCTTAAACACTTTGGTGCCATATAGATTACTATCCACTTTTACTAACAATTTATTTCTATCTGTTTATCTCACTTTCCACCATGTTGCTGGGCTGGAAATAAGTATTTAATCAGATCTTTTTCTATTTCTCTTCTTCATATGTCCAGTCTTCACTGTAATTCAGTGAGATACATGCTAAATATTTTTTTCCAAATTGAGTCAGAATATTTCAGATGGTCTTCACTCTTCCTTGATCTTAAATAGCTCTTCTTGAAATTCTGTATCTTTCTCTCTTTTTGTTTTGAATTATTGGCTCTGTTCTTAATTATTAAAATGTTTCAAAGCCTCCTTACAATCTATGTGTCACTGTCATAGAAAATAGAAATTAAGCTACAAATTTAGGAGTTTGCCACCCTTATGAGAAACAAAGAAACACTTCAAAGGTCCATTTCTGGGAAAGGATTTACTAACCTGCTATGAGATTATAGCTTCTAAATAGATAATCTTCAGGAAACAGAAAAAATTTAAGGATAAAAGAATGCCTACTCATTCACAATTATTGGCAATTATATTTTTTTAATAAGCCAAGGAATTTTTTTCCATTTACTATTTGAGTACTCTACTATTCCATTCATTTTAGGACACATATCTTAATCCTAAAAACACAGAACATATTAAATTGTCCATATAAGCTTCTTCAACCAAAATGTAAAACAATATGCTTTCAAATTGTATGAACTTGGAAGACTATTTAAATGTATTTAGTAGACTAGGTGTAACAGAGTAAAAGTCAGATTTTTGGATAAGCTCATAGCGAGGGTTTCTACCTTGCAGAGCTAACAGCACTTATTTTAATTTCATGCATGGACCATGCTTCTATTAACTTGCAGAGTTCAACATTTGTTGTCTTGTTATTTCCGTAGGCCCTTTATCCTTACTTTTTATCGAGTACTAACTGATTTTAAAATGTATTAGATATTACTTCTTCCTGAAAATTTTCCAGAACCCTTAGATCATTACTTTCCCCCATTTTGTCGTTTTATTTCGCACCGTTCTTTTATCTAGTTATAAAAATGCTTTTTAAATTGTCTATTTTATTTCTCAGAATTTTTAAGCTCTATGAAGCCTTGAGTCATCTTGCCTCCTTATTATCCTTTTTCCTCCTTGGCAAGAACAGCATCTGATAAATAATTGGTACAAATAATTGTTGAATAAATATTTAAACAAAAGAGTGAGAAAGGAGTTGTTTTAAAGAAAATCTTTTGACAAATGTAACAGTTTGAGCAAAATGAAAAAAAAATAATGAATCAGTAGCCCTCAGAATTAGAAAAGGTTCAGAGAGCTACACTCAGCACCATGAGCAGTATTTATAGACAGAATATGGAAATAAACTACAGAAATAGCTTGATTGTTTACAGCTAGCTTGTTCTCCTCATTTGAACATGGTCTGATCAGTTGACAGAGGGCGATTGGGTGAAGCTCATCTGCTTTTGATTGGCTGAGACTAGGCTAGGTATTACAAAAATTAGACTCCATATTAGTTTTCCTTTATTTATGTACTAGGTTACACTGCAGTTTGTTACGTGGGATCTACAAGTACAGAGACAGCCTCAAACCAGTGGCCTCCTGCTAATTTCATTCAACAGAGTGAACATAATGAACCTGATGACAAGGTTAGCATCATGGAGTTCGGGTCCCAATCTGTTTTTACCACAGTACACTGCCTTAATTAATCATGTTCTCTGATTATGTAAATTAGAGTAAACTGAGAACAAAAAACAAACTATTTCTTTAAAATCCACTTAGGGGTTAATATGTGTGTTCATTTTTACTGACTTTAGTAATTCAGGTGCATAAAACTTGCTCCAGAACTGTAACTCATTTGTTCTCATTTACATCTCTAAAGGGCAAGAATTCTACTATCAATGAATAATGAATCACAACAGCTGGATTTTTATCACTGAGCAGATATATATAGTGCTTTAAATAAATCAATATTTTTATTTGTGTGTGATGGCCAAAGTGTTTTTTTTCTCTCTTAAATTAAGCCTTAATGAATTTTGTAGGCTATCTTGGAATTCAATGAAAAGTTCATCAGCAAACTACAAAGGTATTCCTCTGTGAGTTATTAAAATAGACAAAAAAAAAAAAAACAGTAATGCTGGATGGCCTACTTTAAAGAAAGAAAAGCACATAGATTTTAGAATCTCAATTTGACTTTACTCTGTGATTATGCTTCCAGAAATTTTCTGAGGCAATAAATACAATAACTCATTGACTGAGATGGGGTAGGAAGAGAGTGAAGAAAGAAGGTGATAGAGGGCTGGTAGAGGAAGAGGAAATAGAGACACACCATAGCATCCCTCCAAACAGACACTGAAGCATCTTCTCTTAAATCACCTTTTGGTCACACTTACGATGGCTAATAAGTGCTCTGTTTAAAACTCCAACTTCTCTCATAAAGAGAAAATTAATACATAATATAGCCCAAGAGTAAAAGGTCAGAAAAGTAGTTCTTATTTTTCCTCTCCTGAGTTCTTCCTTGCAAAACAAATATGTAAAAGTATTGTGCACTATTTGAAGATATTCATTTCAGATAGAAGCATTAAGAGAGTCAAATGTTTTTTTTTTCTCACTACCCTGTAGATGGAATTTATTTTGTAGTTGACATATGTAAGTTTATATTGATAGAACATCAAAATATAAGTCACATTGTAGTACTTGATATGACGCAGCTGTGTCCCCTCCCAAATCTCATCTTGAATTGTAATAATCCCTACATGTCAAAGGTGGGGCCAGATGGAGATAACCAAATCATGGGGGTGCTTTCCCCCATACTGTTCTCATGGTAGTGAATAAATCTCACAAGATCCGATGGTTTTATAAATGGGAATTCCCCTGCACAATCTTGCTTGCCTGCCGCTATGTAAGACATGCTTTTGCTCCTCCTTGCCTTCTGCCATGATCGTGAGGCCTCCCCAGCCATGTGGAACTGTGAATCCATTAAACCTCTTTTTCTTTATAAATTAACCTGTCTTGGGTATTTTTTCATATAAGTGTGAAATTGGCTAATAGAGTACTCTTCTGTATCACTTGCATTTTTTTACAATTCATTTGATTAACATAGCTAAGTTACAGTCATTAAATTATCATCCATTTAATATGTTTTATTTTGCAGACAAAAATTAATGAAAACGGGATTAATACCTAACACATAATTGTTTTTAACTGTTTTATGTAGAAATTAGAGAAAATGTTATTAAGGGTATTTATGCAGAAAACATGTTTTACACAAAATATCTAATATTAGGCTAGTGTCAAGCTTTCCATCTGAAACTATTTTAGCTGAAGGCAGTGGCTCAATTTCCACAGAAGTTTGTGGAAAAATTCTCGTTCCTCAGTACCTATATATTTATTTTCATTCTTGCTTGAAAAATAGAATGGACTCAGACTGGTAACACAGACAGAAATGATTGAATTCTAATTGAATACTGTATATTTTTTAAGTCATTATAAGAACAATTTAATTTAAATTCATTTTAATGGTGATTAGATTTTTATTGAATAGTTCAATTTTTTTAAAGAAGAAAAACAGTGAAACTTGGTTTTAAGAATGAAGGCAGCCTAACTATATTAAAATTATTAATTCCTTTTAAAGATTATGCTTCTAGATGTCAATCTATCAGCCGTCTGGTTTTCAAATTGATTTTAACGATTATTGGAACAAATCCAGTGAAATGAATTGAGTTTGTTTTGAAGACCTGAATACCTTCCCACTAGAATATAGGGGACTCAAGCTTCCAGGCTGACAAACTATTATGTGCCTTGTGTATCTTAGCCATCCTCATTAACATAGCAAGGACTACTTTCCTAAATGCGTGTGGAGAAAATGTTTAGCTGTCTATGGGGTCCTGTCTTAGGTGAAGGCAAAGCAAAGATCTTCCCGGTTGCTTTGGTTCCTTTATTCACATTGTTCTAAAGCATCATGAGCTTCTGTCAAGAACTAGTCGTGTGGTAGACTTTGCTACCCTCCTAGATAATCTTTTACAGGTAAAGGGAAATATTAAACTGAATTTATTTATTCTTTCCAAATATGTATGGATATATGTTCCCTACATCAAGCATATTAAAGTATAAATGAGTACTACCTTGCTCTTTTCTACTTGGGGAAACATATTAAAATACATAATTGCATTTAGTGTATGAAAATTTTAATATGAGTTATTCCATAAAGGATACAAGAGAGGGATGGAATTGAAAATAGCAAGGTGGTAAGTAAGGTGACACAGAATTAGCAACACTTGTTAATTATGTAGTCATATAAAGGTTTAAATTGATATAGAACAGAAAAAAAAAACAGAAAAATATCTCTCCCCTTGCTGTTAGCTAACAACAACAACAACAAAAAACTGGGAAAAGTTCTGTAAGTTCTACACTTTTATTGGATTATATTTTTCATTCAAAAGAAACTAGTGTCCAAATAAACATGGCTTTGCATTTAAAATTCTTTAAGCCTGACTTCATCCATACGCTAATATGGGATTTTTATTACCATATGAGGAGATTCTTCTTTTATACTAATGAAGGCATATCATTTTTGCTAAAATCCTTATAAACCTAAGCCACAGTTTAACATACCAAAAAACAGTATGTATCATATATGTGTTGGATCTGGACCAAAATAGCGTCAGAAGACCTTTGCAAATTTGACAAATTAAGTCTGTTGAGAGTTAAATTGCTATATGGTATATGAATGTCTGGAATATTGTAATTTTTACGTTTTACAACATAAAAATGCACCTCTGCACTATATCTTAGAGGGTTTGATAGGTGAATATTTTTTCTAATTAATATGATATACATTTGCATTCTAATTGCACACACACAGACACAAAAAATACAATATGCTTGAATACAGTTGAAATTATGTTGACCATTATGTTGGATTGTTTAGAGAGTTGTTAGAGTCACCAATTTGGATTTTTGTATTAGTTTAAACATCATCATTATTATCTAAAAGTCACTATCTTCCAATGTTTTGAAGTTATGTCAGATTATGCTTTCCTTCTCTGTCCCCTTTTGATTTAAATGTTTCATGACTTGGCTTTATTATGTTACTAATTTTACATTATCTTCTGTGAAATTTTCTCACTTTAAAAATCATTAACTTAGGTTTCTGGGCCTGAAAAGGGCCATAGACATGACGAATTTGCACACTTGAAAGAGTCGGTGTGGCTGAGTGGAAAGAGCATGGGATTTATTATAGGATCTCACGTTTGGTCCTACTTTCTTCATTTATTAGCTTTATGACTTTGGGCAAGTCACAGTGGATATTGACCCCCACAATATAATGGTGAAGAGAATGTGATAATCAAGAATATGGGAAGTCATAGAGGGTGTTAAAATTCAAGGATATAAAAATGGAAAAGTGATTTTTCTATTAAATATTCACTACAGAGTTCAGAAGGCATTTTTCTTCTCATCTAGAAATAGGCAGGCAGTGAATAATTATGATTGATGAGAGTTACTTATATTGCCATAAGGATGGCCCACCTTAATTATAAGTCATTCTGAACTGCATAAAAACATTATTTTTTTTAGTTCTTAGTTTATACTATGTCTGAGCTCCTATTTCAAAAGCTGAATGCAATGAATGCAAATGCATAGAATGCATTGGTCAATATAGAAGATTCTAGAATCAGGCTGCCTGAGTTTGAATGCTGCATTAACACCAACAAGCTTTGTAACCTTGGATGAAATACTGCATGCCTTGGATTATAATCAGTAAAAGGGGAATGATGATATGTTAGATAATATATGTAGAGTTTATGAATGTCTCTCATAGAGCAGCAGTTGATCCATTTTTGCCATAACTATTACCGTTGGTTTTGCTGCTGCTATTATCATTAAGAATATTGTTAAAGGACAAAAATGTAGACTTAAACATGACCTTCTTTGGAACTTTAGGAATAGTACTACGGCTTAGTAATTAATAAATACCTTTACAATTAACGAAATCCTTCCAAGTTACAACTGATTATCATGTTGAATTCTAAAGAGTAGCTTATAGTTTGGTAGTATATGACTAAATGTGAAACATTTTCCAAGTTTCGAGTGGATAATGGAGAACAAAAAGATATTTAGAGTCTTGGCATTTTATTTGAAGAAATAATTAATTCAATATTCATTTAGCTATGTCCAGAATTTAAAATACGTTGATCATTCTTGGGTTTAATGAGAGCTCATTTGTCTGCAATATATTGAACTATATTATGAAGTGAAATGTCTTTAAATTTCTAATTAGATAATAGTACAGATAATTAGCCTTTATAAGCTTATATAAATATAGAATATGAATACTTGATTTTAATTCTTAAGTATTCAAATCAAATTTTAGTATATGCATAATAGTCATTTACAAATAGACATAGCATTTCTTCCATTTAAATCTTATATCTCCCCTAGTTTATGTTGTGTCTGTCCCAGTTATGTTTTACATGAGACTGCTTTCTTAAAATGTGACTATTTAAATTAATATCTAAAGGAACATGTTTTGTATGCCATTTTTGTCATTGTATAAACTTTTATACCTCTATTTCATATACTAGTGAAGATGATATTAGCTAAAGGGAGTTGGTAATTTTAAGCCTGTGTATAAATTGAAGCTCGATTCTTTAAGTATATTTTGAGATGTGATGTCTTGGTTTAAAAATAAGGGAAAATAATACAATTTTTAAAGTAATAAAATATTTTTGATGCATTTTAATTTATACTAACTTTATAACACTAATATTAATAGCTTCATGTTTGTTAGTGAGAAGTTGCTGAGTTTCTACTGTGAACAAACTACTAAAGATTAAAGGATTAAATTTAATACTATCATTTAAATCTGAATCATGTGCACTGAGTTCAGTAGTGGCAAATAAATTTGTAACATAAACAGCTGGCAACTGAAGCCTAAAAAAGGAAAAGATGAAAATCTCTACTTGAACCCTGGATGAAGACACCTATAGGGGGTTGAGGAAAATTTATTAATTAAGAAACAGGACAAATGGAAGACAAGCAAGAAAGTGTTGGTCTAGAAAAATAAGTTTTACATAGAATTGGTTAATAGTGTCAAAGAATATTAAAAGACAAATTAGAATCAAGATAGGACTTTTGGATGTTGTCAGGTACTGGCAATGATGAGACATTATATTTACGATCATTAAGTACTGGACACATAAATTGGGCTGCAGAAGATATTAGTAGAAGATCTTGTATTGCTAACACAATAATACATGACAGAAATAACAGGGATAAGATGCTTCAGGAATAAATACTGTAAAGCTTTCTCAGTAGTAGAGGTTAGCTAAATCTACAGTAATTCAAATATTTGTTTTTCTTTTGTTGGCTTGCATGTACACATGGGTTAACTTTTAAATTCCTTTAAGATTTTTATGAATTTAAATGGCCTCATATAAAAGACCCAGATATCTACAGTGTCAGGAGGCATGCTAATTGTGTGGGATCACTTACCCTGAAATATGACTTTCTAGAACACTATACAAGTGAGCTGTGTAGCCATTATATGGTGTCTTTCAAAGGAGTAAAACAGATAACATGGTGACTGAATCATGCTAAAAACCTACAAATAGAAAATTTAATGAAAACTTTATTTTGATTCAGTTTGATGATTTGTCAGTGATATACATGACATTAATTTTTGTTATGTTTCTTTTAAATTAAAATTGTTCTCTCTTTCTCACGCCTGTAATCCCAGCACTTTGGGAGGCCAAGGCGGGCAGATCACGAGGTCAGGAGATGGAGACCATCCTGGATAAGACGGTGAAACCCCGTCTCTACTAAAAATACAAAAACAAAATTAGCTGGGTGTGGTGGCGGGTGCCTGTAATCCCAGCTACTCAGGAGTCTGAGGCGGGAGAATGGCGTGAACCCGGGAGGCGGAGCTTGCAGTGAGCCCAGATCTCACCACCGCACTCCAACTCCTGGGCGATGGAGCGAGACTCCGTCTCAACAACAACAAACTGCCCTCTCTTTCTATCCCTGCCTGCCATTTTCTCTTCTAAGGGTTCTTTACTTGAAGAAATGTTATCTTTTGTCTAGTAGAATGCCCTATACTCTGGTTTAATGTTTTTCCTTGTGGTGTCAGCATATTCACCTATCTCCAGGACTTACTGCAAATTGCAAGTTAAATCTAAAGTCTCTATTAGATTTTGACTTAACTTACCCTCAAGAGTACTGCACAAGAAGTACCTTGTGCTTTATACTGTATCACATCAGGAGGCTACATAGCATCTCAATCATGGCCAAGTTAGGAGTCAACCGTGGGCTCAAGCGATGACATGATAATACCATTTAAAAGTTTCCCATCATCTTCATAGTCATTGATTTTTATAGGCTGGATAGATCACTTTATTTGAGATGGCAAAATGATTATTCTATTCTATTATTTTCTACATTTATTCACTTAAGTTGCTCTGTAAGGAATCAGCTAGGTTTATAAAATAAGAGAACCAAAGCAAACACTTAAATAGGTTTCCCTTTACTTACTAATTTTATAAGTGAGAATTTAGTGGCCTAGCTCTCATTAAAAGAAATCATTGAATTTTCACATTTTCTCCAGTTTGAAGATGGTTTCAAACACACATGATCCTCAACTTATGATATGGTTAAATGTTTTGATAAACCTTTCACAAGGCAAAAATGTCTGAAGTTGAAAATGCATTTAATAACCAATAAACTCTTCATAAAGTTGAAAAATCAGAAGTTTGAAATTGTCTGTAAATGGATATATATGTGTATATGTCTGTAAATGAATATATATGTGTATATATATTTATGTAATATAAATACACATAAATATGTGTATGTATATCCACATCTATATCCATTTATATCATTATGTGTGTGTGTATATATATAGTTTGTAAATGGATATATATGTGTATGTGTATATGTATTTATACACATATATATCTCCTTACAGACAATATATACATATACATACATGTTTGTTATATACATATACATATATACATATATATTTCATATTATTGTATGGTAATACAGTAATAAAAAAATTATGGTCCAGGTGCAGTGTCTCACACCTGTAATCCCAGCACTTTGGGGGGCCGAGGCAGGTGGATCATGAGTTCAGGAGTTCAAGACCAGCCTGACCAACGTAGTGAAACCCCATCTCTACTAAAAATACAAAATAAATTATCTGGGCATGGTGGTGGGCACCTGTTGTCCCAGCTACTTGGGAGGCTGGGGCAGAAAAATTACTTGAACCTGGAGGCGGAGGTTGCAGTGAGCCGAGATCGCGCCACTGCACCCCAGCCTGGGCGACACAGCGAGACTCTGTCTCAAAATGAATAAATATATATAGCAGTACATATTTCTAGTGTGTGTGTGTGCACACGTGCGTGTGTGGTGTGTGTGTGTGTGTACACAGTCATTTTGACCTGGCAGTTTTAAGCTTTCAGGAACAAATAGATATGTGCAATATGTTCATTCCATTCTCTACCCATAATGGTTCCAAGCCAAAAATCTACAAATGAAATGATGTATTGGGTAGAATTCTGATATTTACAATAGATGAAGCAAGTGGTTCTGATTAAGTGGAATCTGTGTCCATGTGGCCTTTTGATACCCACAAAGAGCCCCAAGAATCAGAAGAGCAAGAGTTTGACATTTTACTCCCATGGCATTATTAAGAGTTTGGAAATCAGGCAGTCTCAATTGTAGACCTGGATTTCATTTTTCTTCTCCTTCTCTTCCTCTTTCTCTTTCTTCTTTGTCATCCTTGTCATCTTTTTTTACTTATTTTACTTCTGTCAGCAGTTAGTCTTGTGATCTGCAAACTTTTCAACTTCTTTTCTGGGGAGGAGTTTTATTTGTTTTTGCCTCAGATTCTTCATATACTATATGGGAATCTAGCTTGTTCATCTCTGAAGTTGATTCTATGCCTCAAATTTTGTGATTCAAAGCTTCCTGCAGGGTTTTTCTGTTCCAGATTTTTCTGTTTGCTCAAAAGCATAGGTCTCTCTGCCAGTGTTGATAAGTATAAGGAGGAGTATAATGAAGAATTACTTAATCATTATAAAGTTTCATAATGTGATACTAAATATATAACATGCTAAATTTACTTTTTTGTTATTGGGATGCATATGATGAAAGTGTGTTTTTTCCCTCTTATTAATTTTAGGAAAGAATGGAATAGACTGGTTGTAGAAATGGATGGAGCCTGGGGAGACAGTATTACAGTGGTCGCCCCTTATCTGCAATTTTGCTTTCCATGATTTCAGTTATCTTTGGTCAACCATAGCCTGAAAATATTAAAGAAATACCAGAAATAGACAATTTCTAAGTTTTAAGTTGTACCTTGTTCTGAGTATTGTTATAATTATTCTATTTTAGTATTATTTATTGTCAATCTCATAGTGTGCTTAATTTATAAATTAAGCTTTTTTGTAGTTATGTATGTATAGGGAAAAACATAGTATTAATAAATACAGGGTTCAGTACTACTCGAGGTTTTAGGCATCCACTGGGAGGTCTTACAACGTATATCCTGTGGATAGGGGAAAACTACTGTATTCAGATAATTATAGTATGTTATGACTGGATCAATAAATTTGTAATGAATTTATTTTAAGTCTTAATTAATATTTCTCAGTTAACCTGAAATATATTATTTTAGCTATATACTTGGTAAGTTGTATTTCAGGGATGTTTTTGGAGTTAGTGTGAGATTTTATAAGTTAAGAAAAATACTATGATATCATATATTTTGGGAGTAATAAATCATTCAGTATGATTTACAGCTGTAAGGGGGAATAAAAATGCATCATAAAAATACTTATATAATTAGGATGCATTTGATTTGTCTATAGAAATTGATAATTCCAATTCTATTTCAGAAAACAACTTGATATTCTTATAACTTTTTAATGTACTTTTTTGCCCATCACACAACAAATAGGTTCTTCACTGGTAAATAGGGTGGTTCATATAAAAGAAAACATTTTAAATTTTAATTTTCATATCACTGAGAAAAATATATTTTGAGGTAATGGAGAGACACAAAGACCCTCACAAATGATTATTCTGTGTGTACATGTAGATAAAAATTTATAGTACAGACTATTTTTAAGCAACTCAAAGTACAGTAATACAGTAATATAAAAATCATAGCAGCACACATTTCTAGTATTACAATAAGCTGTAATTTCCTTGCTGTGGATGCCAAGATAAATTACATTGTTATTTAATTTGTAGAAATTCTCAAATCTG
The DNA here is from genome assembly GCF_000001405.40 of Homo sapiens. NCBI lineage: Eukaryota > Metazoa > Chordata > Mammalia > Primates > Hominidae > Homo > Homo sapiens. Next base: position 93,656 of record NW_015148967.1, on the reverse strand, counting down.
TAGAGGTAGTATGTTTATAGTACTGTCTTATAATTTTAAATCCCTTATGTAAATATTGTAGTCTCATTTTCTCTTTAAAAATTTTAATCATCTGTGCACTTTTTCTGAAGCATAATAGAAATACATTTTTACAAAGATGCAAAAAAGACATTTTACATACTTACATATACATACTGTGGAATATTTGCATATAAATATATATTAGCACTTAGCATATGAATTTATATATCAATATGTAATTTCACATAAAGTTTGATATATACTTAAATAATATCAAATAAGTACTTATAAATAAAATTAATATAAATGTAAACATTCATATAAATACCATCTTTACCTCTATAGTTAACTTCTAGCTATTGCTTGCCTATGAGCACATAGACTATTGTCACATATTAATATATAGGCATATAACATGCAATGTAAGATACAATTGCAATTGCAAAATGTTTGCCTCAAAATTCAAAATTTTATATAATTAGATTCATTTAGTTTACAAGAGCATCTGAATAAAAGCACTTTTAACACTAATAATTATCATGTAATCATATTACTATTAAAGTGAGATTTATATCCATAATTTTCCTTTAGACATGGAAAGATATTTTAACTTCAAGAGATATTAGAGTTTCAATTATATACAATTACTCATTGTATTTTTGAAACGTGTGATTATTCTCATTCATATATGTTGGTTATAGATATCTAGTAGAAAATCTCCTAACATTCACTTTTTTATTTTTTAGTGAAGTAGCCTGAAAGATGTAGGCTTGGCTGAGAATGCTCTATAAAAAATGAATAGATTTGGGGCTAGAAGTCTGACGTGGGCTGTAAAGAGATTACCAGAAATGGAAACAGGATAAATCAGATGGACCAACACATTATTTGAGGAAGCTGCTATGTGAACTCCCACAAAAAATATGTCACGCTGACTTTCTCTAAAGAAGTAAGCTGGGCTTTGTGGATGACAGTTGTGGTGGGTGGAGAGAGGAAACAATTTTCAAAATATTACATATTCTAGCAATAAAATTGTTCTGCAAGTGTTAAGGAATCCTTCTGGGTATGTTAATGTGACTTGACTATAAAAAATTATTGAGCATAGGAGCACATGCAAACACACTCACATAGTCCTTCCTTTAGTGTTATTTCCTTAGAAAGATGCACGAATTAGAATTTCTGAAAACATATATTCTCTATATCTGCAGTGCCATATGAGAAAACTTTCAAAACGTTAAAAATAAAGCCATATCACTCTATCCTGGCTCCCATCTGTGTGGCTGTTTCTTCACATGTCAATAGCAGAATTGTGCTTACAATAAGCATGTACAGTATAGTAATAGGATTTGGGTGACTAAATTTACCATTTTGCTGTCATTGCCAATGCTTTTGGTTGTGAAAATTTATAAAATTGCTATGTAAGCCACGTTTAATAAGTGAGTATTTTCGGTGGTTGCAACTTGTTTAAAGAAACTTTTAACATCATGTAGAAGCATATTCTGTTACTCTGTGAATCCTACTTTAAAGTGCCACACTTTTCACCTCTTCCTCCTTAATGTGCCTCTAAGCCTTTAGTAGCCCTACTAGCGAAAAGTACTCATTGCACTCGGTATATACAGACCAAGTGGAGAAGTTGTCAAATCTTCCTTGGCTCATAAATGGGAGGCGGAATAATGTCACCAAAACTCAGAATTAAGCACAAAAACATTTTTAAAAAATGGACCTTCCCCTACCCGCCAGCATATACACTTTTATATATTTTATAATGGTCTTAATAAGAGTTGCTCTAAAGGAGAAAGCTTTATAATTTATAAATTGTGGCAGTACAGGTATACTAGATGCACCTATCTTTTAAACATTAATGAAATGGGTCATAAAAACGTATATAAGTTACACACACAAGTAGTTTAGCAACAGAGATATACTTGGTAAAATGCAGAGCAAACATACATACACATCAAAAACCACATGATTATCTCAATAGATGCAGAAAAGGCCTTTGACAAAATTCAATAACCCTTCATGCTAAAAACTCTCAATAAATTAGGTATTGATGGGACGTATCTCAAAATAATAAGAGCTATCTATGACAAACCCACAGCCAATATCATACTGAATGGGCAAAAACTGGAAGCATTCCCTTTGAAAACTGGCACAAGACAGGGATGCCCTCTCTCACCACTCCTATTCAACATAGTGTTGGAAGTTCTGGCCAGGGCAATTAGGCAGGAGAAGGAAATAAAGGGTATTCAATTAGGAAAAGAGGAAATCAAATTGTCCCTGTTTGCAGATGACATGATTGTATATCTAGAAAACCCCATTGTCTCAGCCCAAAATCTCCTTAAGCTGATAAGCAACTTCAGTAAAGTCTCAGGATACAAAATCAATGTACAAAAATCACAAGCATTCTTATACACCAATAAGAGACAAACAGAGAGCCAAATCATGAGTGAACTCCCATTCACAATTGCTTCAAAGAGAATAAAATACCTAGGAATCCACCTTAGAAGGGATGTGAAGGAACTCTTCAAGGAGAACTACAAACCACTGCTCAAGGAAATAAAAGAGGATACAAACAAATGGAAGAACATTCCATGCTCATGGGTAGGAAGAATCAATATCGTGAAAATGGCCATAGTGCCCAAGGTAATTTATAGATTCAATGCCAGCCCCATCAAGCTACCAATGACTTTCTTCACAGAATTGGAAAAAACTACTTTAAAGTTCATATGGAACCAAAAAAGAGCCTGCATCGCCAAGTCAATCCTAAGCCAAAAGAACAAAGCCAGAGGCATCACGCTACCTGATTTCAAACTATACTACAAGGCTACAGTAACCAAAACAACATGGTACTGGTACCGAAACAGAGATTAGATCAATGGAACAGAATAGAGCCCTCAGAAATAACGCCACATATCTACAGCTATCTGATCTTTGACAAACCTGAGAAAAACAAGCAATGGGGAAAGGATTCCCTATTTAATCAATGGTGCTGGGAAAACTGGCTAGCCATATGTAGAAAGCTGAAACTGGATCCCTTCCTTACACCTTATACAAAAATTAATTCAAGATGGATTAAAGACTTAAACGTTAGACCTAAAACCATAAAAACCCTAGAAGAAAACCTAGGCATTACCATTGAGGACATAGGCATGGGCAAGGACTTCATGTCTAAAACACCAAAAGCAATGGCAACAAAAGCCAAAATTGACAAATGGGATCTAATTAAACGAAAGAGCTTCTGCACAGCAAAAGAAACTACCATCAGAGTGAACAGGCAACATACAAAATGGGAGAAAATTTTTGCAACCTACTCATCTGACAAAGGGCTAATATCCAGAATCTACAATGAACTCAAACAAATTTACAAGAAAAAAACAAACAACCCCATCAAAAAGTGGGCAAAGGGTATGAACAGACACTTCTCAAAAGAAGACATTTATGCAGCCAAAAAACACATGAAAAAATGCTGATCATCACTGGCCATCAGAGAAATGCAAATGAAAACCATAATGAGATACCATCTCACACCAGGTAGAATGGCGATCATTAAAAAGTCAGGAAACAACAGGTGCTGGAGAGGATGTGGAGAAATAGGAACACTTTTCCACTGTTGGTGGGACTGTAAACTAGTTCAACCATTGTGGAAGTCAGTGTGGCGATTCCTCAGGGATCTAGAACTAGAAATACCATTTGACCCAGCCATCCCATTACTGGGTATATACCCAAAGGACTATAAATCATGCTGCTATAAAGACACATGCACATGTATGTTTATTGCGGCACTATTCACAATAGCAAAGACTTGGAACCAACCCAAATGTCCAACAATGATAGACTGGATTAAGAAAATATGGCACATATACACCATGGAATACTAAGCAGCCATAAAAAATGATGAGTTCATGTCCTTTGTAGGGACATGGATGAAATTGGAAATCATCATTCTCAGTAAAGTATCTCAAGGACAAAAAACCAAACACCGCATGTTCTCACTCTTAGATGGGAATTGAATAATGAGAACACATGGACACAGGAAGGGGAACATCACACTCCGGGGACTGTTGTGGGGTGGGGGTAGAGGGGAGGGATAGCATTAGGAGATATACCTAATGCTAAATGACGAGTTAATGGGTGCAGCACACCAGGATGGCACATGTATACATATGTAACTAACCTGCACATTGTGCACAGGTACCCTAAAACTTAAAGTATAATAACAATAATAATAATAAAAAAAAGAAAATGTTAGGAATCAAGTTTCTCAACATGTAATAAGCATTCTGTGAGTACTTACTGCTTCTAAGTTACAATGACCATAGAAATGAAAGAAACAGACTTAGAGAAGTAGTGTAACATGTTGGCTAAAAATATAGACTTCAAAGTTTAACAGAGCTCGTTCAGTTCTTAACACTGTGGATTATCAGCATGAGATCTCAGCCAAGTTACTTAATTTATTTAAACCTCATTTTTCTCCTGCATAATGATGATTGTAAATTAATCTCACATTTTTGTAGGAAACAGAAAAGATATTTAAAGGACTTAGTACCTGGCTACCATAATGTTAGCACCCAATAATTTAATAAATAACTCAGTATTATTATATTTCCCTCAAGGAGCTTTCAGTTTCTTTTCTAACACATTCAGAGTGAATTTGAATTTTTGTATGTTGATTGGTTGGTAGGTAATAAAAATACCTTACACTAGTTGATGCTATTTTTATAAACGTTAGTCAAAGAAATTAGAAATCAATGCAAAAATTTAAGTAAGGTTAAATATTAACACTTTTTGAGTTGATATCACATGATGACATGAAACTGGAAAATAATTTTTCAGGGTTTGGGAATTGTATCAAGTACAGCTGAAAATTGGATAGGTCCACAAGTTCAAACAAAGGAGTCTAGTGGAAAAATAATCAATAGAAAAAAAAAAGAGAAATTTAAATTCTGTAGTATCTAATATTAGAATTTCCTAAATCAAAAGGACATTTTATATACTGTTTACATGTAAACAGTGGCAAAATAAGCAAACATACCCAAAATTATTTGTGTAAAATATCCATATATGTTTCTACTAAAAAATTCCAAACCAATTTGAAGATATTTTACCACTAATGAACTATATGAGCCAAATTTTGTTCTCTTCATAGAGTGATATTTTGGTTCTTTAGTTTAATTATGTATTTAATAAACCAATCTCAAATTATTAAAATAAACTCAACAACTAAAAAAACAAACAGAAAGATTGGTTTGACATGAGTATAGTGATTAAAATACAGGTTCAAATTAATGATGAAAAAGTAACATAGTCTCTGAGGAAGGTTCCTTTAAGAAACCTGGAGTATGGAAGATAAGAATAATTTTCGGTATTAATCTGATGTTTATGAGAACACAAAAACACTTAAAAATATTTACCCACTTAAAAAACAGAACATTTACCCACTTAGAAAACAGAATTTCTTTAGAATTCATTAAAAACATAGTCAGGGATGAATACTAAAGTCAAAGGCTGATTTCAATTGATTACATAATTATGTATGTGTATATGTACATGTCTACACATATGCATATGTATGTGTATTTGATAGTCCCTACACATATGTATATGTATGTGTATTTGATACATATGTGAGGGGTATGTGCATACCCAACTGCATAGACATATTTATAGTTACTATCGTTCATGCAAGTAATATACAATTCTGTATAACACAAGCTTTTAATAACTAAAATATATTACTTAGTAAAATTATAATTATTATCTAGAATGTAACCTTAAAACTTAAGAAATTTCATAATCCTGTGAGCTGTGAAAAATTTTCACATAAAGTTATAATCTTATAAAACTAAACTTGATATGCTCAAATATATTTTATCAAAAAAACTTTTTAAAATATACATGTTTAAATGACACATAGTAATTGTACGTATTTATGGAGTACAGTGTGATATTTTGAGGCATATATACAATGTGTAATGAAATAACTTTGTTAAAAAGCATTCCTAAACACTTGATTACAGAGTTGACTATGGGTAAACATTTCACTTCACTGTAATAAAGCACCTCATAATACATCTCTGAAGGAACATGCTGAGATTTAGCTTTACAAAGTATATATGAAAACTCCTCACAAAAAGGCTATAAACACAATTCTAAGAATCATCCTTTAAAATATGTCCTAAACACTTGCCTGGAAAATTCGCTGATTGGTAAACAGTTCAATTCACTGTAATAAAGCAACTCACAATGCATCGCTGAAGTAACACACTCAGAATTAGCTTTATTCGCATGTGTAAGTAAACCCCTTCAATGTGGCTACAGGCATGATAGTAAAAAACATAATTAGAAATCATGTTCCAGTCAGAGTTACTAGCATACCCATCATCTCCAACTCTTGTGTTGGGTAACATTGAAAAGCCACTCTTCTAATTGTTTGAAAAATTAAAATAAATTATTGTTTACTATAGTTACCCCACAGCGCTATAGAACACCAGAGCTCATTCCTCCTATCTAGCTGTAATATTGCATACATTAACCAACCTCTCCCTGTCCCCCTACCCTTCCTAGCCTCTAGTAATCACTATTCTGCTCTCTACTTCTATGAGATCAACTTTTTTAGCCTCCACATATGAATGAGAACATATAATATGCATCTTTCTGTGCCTGATTTATTTCTCTTAACATTATTTCCCCATGACAGCATTTCATTCTTTGTTAAGGCTAAATGATATTCCATTATGCATATACAGCAAGTTTGCTTTATCCATTTGTCTGATGATGGACACATTGGTTGATTCCCTACCTTGGCTATTGTGAATAGTGCTGTGATAAACATGGGAGGGCAGATATACCTCCAAAATACTAATTTCCTTACCTTTGGATACATACTTAGTAGTGGGATTGCTGGATTATATGGTAGTTTTATTTTTACCTTGAACAAATGTCTTTTTTATGAGCATCACAGTGTCAAATTTTGAACAAGGATTCCAGTGAAAATATATTTTAAAAAACTTAATACACTTTTAAAAATAAAGACTTGATATTTCTCAATGTAAGTGAGCATTATGCTTAATTAATTGTTATTAAAACTTTTGGCCTTCAGAGATGTGATTTTTAAAAGTGGTATGAGATGTGAGATGAAAAACCTCTAATATTCAGTGATAAGTGGTGTGCTAATTAAACTGCGTAATCAAGTAATGTCAAGGATTTAAAGATTATTATGCAGCTGCTTCAGGATGAGTATGGAAAAATGCGTGAGGATTAGTTTATGTTTACTCCTTTTCAACTACATTCAAGGTAGAGGTGGCAGGCAAGAGTATAAGAAGAAATTGCTGCAGGCTAGCATTTCTCTCCACTTGGAAACTCTTTACATCTTAATCCAGTCTTCTCATTTTGTTCTGTTGGAATTCTCTTTTTCTTTAGTGCAAATCTATTATTCCACTAAATGCTGTCATTGGCAATTACTTCTTAGTTTCATTCTCCAAAAATATGGCTATTTCAAGGCACTAGGCCCAACATTCCACTTAAGCCTTGGGAGGCCACCAGCAGACTATTCGCACAAAATTCCTTTAATGTGTAGAACGCAATAAGACAAAAAAAAAAAAAAAAAAAAAAAAAAAAAACAGAATAGAATTGCTTTTGATGTTATAGTGAATTTTCTTTTTTATTTGGGGGCTAGGCAAGGGGAATCCTTATTAACTAGCACATTATCTTTTTAACTGTGAAACAAAATTGCTTGGTTATTTATATCTATAACGACTTCTGTTACATTCTGCCTTGCCATTCAAGAATGAAGTATCTTGCTCCAAAGTCTTTATGCGCATTCACAGAAAGGTGGACTATACAGTCAGTGTTGATACATGTTCATCCTCACGTTTCTTCCCCAGAATGACTCAATTCCATAAATACATCAAAAAGAAAAAACTGCTGTAATTAGAACAGGGCAATATTTGATGAGAGCATTTGTGTACACTGAATGGTAAGCTTTGCACGAACAGGCACCATTTCTGTCTTATTTCATCTTGCAATCTCTGCATAACCCAATACATGGAATATAGTTGTTGTCACTCAAAATATATTTTAATATTTGTCATATGACATATTATAATCTATTACATTAAATGGAAATTATTGACATAAGAAATTTATTTTAGTGATATCTTATTTCTTGAGCGCCTTTGGTGTGCCCTTCTTACAGTTGGTAATAAGGGTGATAACTGAAATTAGGATCTTAGAGAACTGTACGTTAGGATACTATGTACTTACCATGTACAGTGTATTATGCTGGTGTTGCTGTCTGATACTGTATGTGCTTTTGCCTCCTAAGGTTTGATTAGAAGTTAAGTGTGGAGAACATGCATATCTAGAAGTTCTATCTGTATTTTTAAAAAAAATCATGATTTTTTTGCATCTGATGTAATTTGTTTAGCAGATATTTATAGTATATATGTAGGATTACATATATAAATGAAGATTTTAATAAGATCGGTATAAAAATGAAGGAAATTCCCCAAAATCACTTAACAGACTCATGTTCATCTTTGTCTATAGGCTATTATTTATCTTAATATGAAGAAATAAAACAGCAGAAATAAGAGTTTATCATTAAGAAATCATAAGTACAATGCATAGACAAATCATCACATATAAGTTTTTGTATAAATTTAAACCACATTCTAAAATTTGTCTGTTATCTCTTATTTTTCATTATCATTTAGCCTCTTATGATCCACTTGTTTATATTCCATCATGCTCTTCAAAATCTTAGTAGAGCGATCTTATTCTGATGTTGCATTCTAGCAACCATTCTAAAATTTGAAATGTGAAATTTAATGACTTGTAGTTTAAAGAAAATAGAAAGGACTTTTGGTTTCAGCTCTAATATATACAAAGAGCTTAATAATTGTCACTCCTGTCTTTACAACAAAAATAACAATAACTAAAAAAACCCTGAAAATAAAGAAATTTTATTTGACCCATTGGATAACTGAGTTTCAGACAAAATTGCCATCCTGAAACCTGGAAGGAAGGGAATGCCGAGAATCACAGCCAAGATCTGCTTACCATAATTTGCCATCTGCTTCAATAACATTATGTAAACAATTTGGTAGTTCTAATACCATTTTTTTTCTGTGTGTTTGAGATTAATTAAACAACATACATATGCTGTACATTTCTACAAGGTAGCTTTTGAATAAGTTTTTTTCTATAGGAGATATTTGTTTACAATTCTGACACCACTGTACCTGTGTAACAGATTTAAATGATTATGTAAATGGATAGTTGATGGTGGGAGACGGATTTATTGTAATTGGAGCTGGAGTTTTCAGAGAAGCAGTGTTCTGCTTACATGAAGGAGTTAATATTTTCTGTTTTCTTGCTATGAGTGTTGCTACATTTATTTATTTATTTAATCATGTTATTTATCCCTGAGATCATATTACTAAATAGAATCTTTTGGAAAATTTCAACTAATTCATAGGGTTTCTGTCTTTGCCAGCAAATTTTAATTTTAAATAATTGAAGTAATAGTTAAAACTTCCCATAAACATATTAAAACATTTAGATTCATGACTTGGTAGTAGTGTGTTCACAGTCAAAACGCATAGTCCTGAAGGACTGATGGTGTGTAAAGCCTGACCAAAGAGGATAAACTATGTGTATGATAATCACCCTGTTTTTCTCCATATCTTTTGAAATTGATTTGGTGATCTGAGATTTGACATATTTCATTAAACCAGCTACATGCTTTAAAGCGAATAATTTGCAAACTCCACAAAGTTTTCTGGTATCATTGGTGTATTTATTTGTGTAATTTAGAAATTAGCATTTCACATTTGGGTAATTTTGGATGACTTTCTAAAGGCCTTATATTGTTCATAGCCTGCTGAATTTTGAAAATATGACGAAGTTGAAGCATTTTAATAGTTTCTGTTTCCCTTGTGTGTTTTACATGTCTATTTTCAAGGAATTGAATGAGACTTTCCCTAATACACAATGCATATTTACTTCACTGATGATGAAGAATAGGTTTGACCTTCCTTGCTCTTTAAGTAGGATATGTATGACCAGCTATCTTTATGAAGTAATTTTATTTTCTTATCAAATTTTCTGCTCCACAATATATTTAATGACTACCAAATACCTGCTTTGCATTCTCACTTGAACTTTGTTTATAACTCTCTATGTCATCTCATATTTTGCCTTACATTCAATTTCTTTCACATTTGACTGATTTTATGTTTTCCACTGAATTTTTGAAACATAGGAATAGTTACTATTTTTCTTCATTTTTTTATTACCTGGAATGACTAATACAGCGATTTAATGTAATTATTAAAATTTGTGTGTGGTGAATAAGATTATGAAGACATTAATATTCCCAGGTTTTTCTGAAGATAAATGCATAATACACTATGATTAAGTTACTACTAAATTAAAAATATTGGTTCTAAATCTTCTGGCACTGACTTTGGGCAAGACAGCAAATCAGTCAATTAAAAAAATAGGGGTTGATGTATATAATCTTCAAGTTTCTTTCACAAATTTGAATGTATATGATTTTCAAACATCCCCTCAAAGATGTATGTTCTGTATTCTACTGAAGCCTAAAGATATGCAAGAAAAAAAGGAAAATACTTTGAAATTGTTTACTACAAGCTCTCCACTCAATAATTTAGCAGTAGGGAAGAATATATTGTTTGCTTTTAAATTAATTTCAGTTTTTATTGATATGTAAGAGATGTACATATTTTGAGGGTGTATGTGATAATTTAATACTTTCCTATAATTTGTAAAGATCAGATCAGCATAATTGGGATATTCATTATCTTAAATATTTGTCTTTTCTTTAAGCTAGAAACATTCAAGTTACTCTCTTCTAGCTTTATGAAACATACAATAAATAAATTATACTAAACTATAGTAACCCTACTGTTCTATTGAATACTGGGTCTTATTTTTTCTATCAAACAGTAGAATATATTGTTTTTGTGATTATCATATTTGTCTTTCTCACGAGTATAAGATTCAGTATTACTAGTGGTATATAATTTAAAGGATTTGTTCCCACTCTGTGTCATGAACAAAAACCTTTGCATATTCCTAAGACTTCCTGCCCTCTGTATAATTATGGGAAATTATTTCAAGTGTGTCTTTTGGCCTTGATCATGATCTTGGTATCTTTTTATTATATTTTATTATATATACGTATATTATATATAATATATAAAATTATAAAATATATGGCATGTATGTGTGTGTGTATAATTTTTTTAAAGTGGTGCTTCCATAGCCTGTTTTACCTGCAAAAGGAGTATCTTTTTAGTGATGCAGTTCAAGTGATCTATTAAATTGTGTTTACCTACCTCATAAATGACTTAACATTAATTAGAAAATACATTTAAGTGGTTTAATAATTTTTAAAAATAATACATGCTGGGATAATATTTTATTGTTTATAAATACCACTTTCTTGAATCAAAGATGTCAGTTCTAATAGGATTAGCATTACATTTTCCCAAGTCATTTATAAGTACTCTATTTTCATGGAAATATCATTCATGAATAGATAACTGCTCTGGAGCTCTAATCTTTTGGGTTTGACTATTAAGGATAAATAAGAAGTTTATTTACTTTAGAAGAGCCTAACATAGTTTGCTAATCATATTGCACTTTTTAAATGTCAGGGTTCACATCTTTAAAGAAACAAGATCCTCACATACTTTTATGCCATAAGCTGCTTGTGAGGTTTCTATAGTTGGATCTATTAATGGGATCTTTTAAGTATTAATAATTCAGCTTGCTTGAATTTGTGTTTATGCTCTTTAGTCTATGCTATGATGTGTAACATGAAATACTGCTAATTTATAATATATTATCAAAAATTATCTTGAGTGAAACTAATGAAAAACTTTTATATAACTATTTTTGCTTGGTATAATTACATAGACTTTACAAATAATAAAATTTATCTTTAGGAAATAACTAATTTTTTAATTTCTATATTGAAATTTGTAATATTAATAGGAATTCCGAGATTTATCATTGATTTTTTATTTTGTAATATATTCACAAATACTTTTCTCAATAATTTTTGAAACTGATCTTCTGTTGACAGCATCTTTTAAAAATATTTATTATGTGCTTTTTGAAATTTTAAATTATGATAAAATATGTGTAATATAAAATTTACTATCTTAACAGTTGTTAAGTGTACCCTTCAGTAGTGTCAAATACATTCACATTGTTATGCAACCAATCACCAGAACTCTTTTTTTTTCCTTTTTTTTTTTTTTGAGACGGAATTTCGCTCTTGTTGCCCAGGCTGGAGTGCAATGGCGCGATTTCGGCTCACCGCAACCTCCACCTCCCAGATTCAAGCAATTCTCCTGCCTCAGCCTCCTGAGTAGCTGGGATTACAGGCATGTGCCACCACGCCCAGCTAATTTTTTTTTTTTTTTTTTTTTTTTTTTTTTTTTTTTGAGAGGGAGTCTCACTCTATTGCCTAGACTGGAGTGCAGTGGCACAGTCTCTGCTCACTGCAGCCTCCGCCTCCTGGGTTCAAGAGATTCTCCTGCCTCAGCCTCCCGAGGAGTGGGACTTCAGGCACACACCAGCACGCCCAGCTAATTTTTTTTTTTTTTTTTTTTTTTTTTTGAGTAGAGAGAGACAGGGCTTCACTATGTTGGTCAGTCTGGACTCGAACTCCTGACCTCAAGTGATCCATCTGCCTTGGCCTCCCAAAGTGCTGGAATTACAGATGGGAGCCACTGAGCCCAGCCAGAACTCTTTTCATCTTGCAATACTGATTTTTTTTTTTCTCTCTCTCTCTCTCTATATATATATATATATATGAAATTCTTTGTGTTTATACATATGTTATATATGTACAAATGTGAACATATATATTTTGTATTTTTTGTGGTTACATAAAAGGTGTATCTATGAGGTACATATAAACACATATATACAGAGAGGAATAGACAGAGAGAGATGAGAAGGAGGGATATATTCTTTTTATTTTATTATATATATTTTATTATACTTTAAGTTCTAGGATACATGTGCAAAATATGCAGGTTTGTTACATATGTATACATGTGCCATGTTGGTTTGCTGCACCCATTAACTCATTATTTACATTAGGTATTTTTCCTAATGCTATCCTTCCCCCCTCCCCCCTCCCCCCACCCCACGACAGACCCCGGTGTGTGATGTTCCCTGCCCTGTGTCCAAGTGTTCTCATTGTTCAATTCCCACCTATGAGTGAGAACATGCGGTGTTTGGTTTTTCTATCCTTGAGCTAGTTTGCTCAGAATGATGGTTTCCAGCTTCATCTATGTCCCTACAAAGGACATGAACTCAAGGGAGGGATGTATTCCTAACAGTGTTGATGCCGGTGAAATTTATGCCTTTTATTCTTCTCTTTAACCTTTGTTTTCGGATTACTCTATAATATATAATCCTTTTTGTTAAAAGAAACAATAAACTTGTTTTCTGTGTTTAGACATCTGCATTCGTAACCCAAAGAACTCACTTTTTAAGGTCATTATTTTTAGATGAAAGGATAATAAAAAATAACAGCAGGTATCTCGTAAAAAAAACCCACATTTTACAGAGCATTTACTATGTCATACAGAATAACAGCATGTATGTTCAGTGCTTTGATTTTAACAATAATTTGCCTTACACTTAAGAAAATACTTAGAATTTTTTACCTCTTCATTTTCTTTCAGCAAAGATTAGTAATGATTTAATATTTACTTTTGGACATAATTTTTTATTTTAGTAAAATATACATAACATAAAAATTATCATTTTAATCATTTTAAGTGCACACTTCAGTGGTATTAAGTATGATTGCCCAATATTGTTGGACAATCATCACCACCATTCATCTTTAGAACTGTTTTTCAGCTTCCCAACTGAAACTTCATACCCATTAAACAATAACGCATTCTTTCCTCTGTAAATCCATGGAAACCACCACTCTACTTTCTCTATAAATAAGATTATCTTAGGTCCCTCATTTAAGCATCATTATGCCATATTTGTCTTCTTTTTAATTATTATTATACTTTAAGTTTTACGGTACATGTGCACAATGTGCAGGTTAGTTACATATGTATACATGTGACATGCTGGTGCGCTGCACCCACTAACTCGTCATCTAGTATTAGGTATATCTCCCAATGCTATCCCTCCCCCCTCCCCCCACCCCACAACAGTCCCCAGAGTGTGATGTCCCCCTTCATGTGTCCATGTGTTCTAATTATTCAATTCCCACCTATGAGTGAGAATATGCGGTGTTTGGTTTTTTGTTCTTGTGATAGTTTACTGAGAATGATGATTTCCAATTTCATCCATGTCCCTACAAAGGACATGAACTCATCATTTTTTATGGCTGCATAGTATTCCATGGTGTATATGTGCCACATTTTCTTAATCCAGTCTATCATTGTTGGACATTTGGGTTGGTTCCAAGTCTTTGCTATTGTGAATAATGCCACAATAAACATACATGTGCATGTGTCTTTATAGCAGCATGATTTATAGTCCTTTGGGCATATACCCAATAATGGGATGGCTGGGTCAAACGGTATTTCTAGTTCTAGATCCCTGAGGAGTGGCCACACTGACTTCCACAATGGTTGAACTAGTTTACAACCCCCCAACAGTGTAAAAGTGTTCCTATTTCTCCACATCCTCTCCAGCACCTGTTGTTTCCTGACTTTTTAATGATTGCCATTCTACCTGGTGTGAGACGATATCTCATTGTGGTTTTGATTTGCATTTCTCTGATGGCCAGTGATGGTGAGCATTTTTTCATGTGTTTTTTGGCTGCATAAATGTCTTCTTTTGCGAAGTGTCTGTTCATGTCCTTCACCCACGTTTTCATGGGGTTGTTTTTTTTTTTTCTTGTAAATTTGTTTGAGTTCATTGTAGATTCTGGATATTAGCCCTTTGTCAGATGAGTAGGTTGCAAAAATTTTCTCCCATTTTGTAGGTTGCCTGTTCACTCTGATGGTAGTTTCTTTTGCTGTGCAGAAGCTCTTTCGTTTAATTAGATCCCATTTGTCAATTTTGGCTTTTGTTGCCATTGCTTTTGGTGTTTTAGACATGAAGTCCTTGCCCATGCCTATGTCCTGAATGGTAATGCCTAGGTTTTCTTCTAGGGTTTTTATGGTTTTAGGTCTAACGTTTAAGTCTTTAATCCATCTTGAATTGATTTTTGTATAAGGTGTAAGGAAGGGATCCAGTTTCAGCTTTCTACATATGGCTAGCCAGTTTTCCCAGCACCATTGATTAAATAGGGAATCCTTTCCCCATTGCTTGTTTTTCTCAGGTTTGTCAAAGATCAGATAGTTGTAGATATGTGGCGTTATTTCTGAGGGCTCTGTTCTGTTCCATTGATCTATATCTCTGTTTTGGTACCAGTACCATGCTGTTTTGGTTACTGTAGCCTTGTAGTATAGTTTGAAATCAGGTAGCGTGATGCCTCTGGCTTTGTTCTTTTGGCTTAGGATTGACTTGGCGATGCAGGCTCTTTTTTGGTTCCATATGAACTTTAAAGTAGTTTTTTCCAATTCTGTGAAGAAAGTCATTGGTAGCTTGATGGGGCTGGCATTGAATCTATAAATTACCTTGGGCACTATGGCCATTTTCACGATATTGATTCTTCCTACCCATGAGCATGGAATGTTCTTCCATTTGTTTGTATCCTCTTTTATTTCCTTGAGCAGTGGTTTGTAGTTCTCCTTGAAGAGTTCCTTCACATCCCTTCTAAGGTGGATTCCTAGGTATTTTATTCTCTTTGAAGCAATTGTGAATGGGAGTTCACTCATGATTTGGCTCTCTGTTTGTCTGTTATTGGTGTATAAGAATGCTTGTGATTTTTGTACATTGATTTTGTATCCTGAGACTTTACTGAAGTTGCTTATCAGCTTAAGGAGATTTTGGGCTGAGACAATGGGGTTTTCTAGATATACAATCATGTCATCTGCAAACAGGGACAATTTGATTTCCTCTTTTCCTAATTGAATACCCTTTATTTCCTTCTCCTGCCTAATTGCCCTGGCCAGAGCTTCCAACACTATGTTGAATAGGAGTGGTGAGAGAGGGCATCCCTGTCTTGTGCCAGTTTTCAAAGGGAATGCTTCCAGTTTTTGCCCATTCAGTATGATATTGGCTGTGGGTTTGTCATAGATAGCTCTTATTATTTTGAGATACGTCCCATCAATACCTAATTTATTGAGAGTTTTTAGCATGAAGGGTTGTTGAATTTTGTCAAAGGCCTTTTCTGCATCTATTGAGATAATCATGTGGTTTTTGTCTTTGGTTCTGTTTATATGCTGGATTACATTTATTGATTTTCATATATTGAACCAGCCTTGCATCCCAGGGATGAAGCCCACTTGATCATGGTGGATAAGCTTTTTGATGTGCTGCTGGATTCGGTTTGCCAGTATTTTATAGAGGATTTTTGCATCAATGTTCATCAAGGATATTGGTCTAAAATTCTCTTTTTTGGTTGTGTCTCTGCCCAGCTTTGGTATCAGGATGATGCTGGCCTCATAAAATGAGTTAGGGAGGATTCCCTCTTTTTCTATTGATTGGAATAGTTTCAGAAGGAATGGTACCAGCTCCTCCTTGTACCTCTGGTAGAATTTGGCTGTGAATCCATCTGGTCCTGGACTCTTTTTGGTTGGTAAGCTATTGATTATTGCCACAATTTCAGATCCTGTTATTGGTCTATTCAGAGATTCAACTTCTTCCTGGTTTAGTCTTGGGAGAGTGTATGTGTCGAGGAATTTATCCATTTCTTCTAGATTTTCTAGTTTATTTTCGTAGAGGTGTTTGTAGTATTCTCTGATGGTAGTTTGTAATTCTGTGGGATTGGTGGTGATATCCCCTTTATCATTTTTTATTGTGTCTATTTGATTCTTCTCTCTTTTTTTCTTTATTAGTCTTGCTAGCGGTCTATCAATTTTGTTGATCCTTTCAAAAAACCAGCTCCTGGATTCATTAATTTTTTGAAGGGTTTTTGTGTCTCTATTTCCTTCAGTTCTGCTCTGATTTTAGTTATTTCTTGCCTTCTGCTACCTTTTGAATGTGTTTGCTCTTGCTTTTCTAGTTCTTTTAATTGTGATGTTAGGGTGTCAATTTTGGATCTTTCCTGCTTTCTCTTGTGGGCATTTAGTGCTATAAATTTCCCTCTACACACTGCTTTGAATGTGTCCCAGAGATTCTGGTATGTTTGTCTTTGTTCTCATTGGTTTCAAAGAACATCTTTATTTCTGCCTTCATTTCGTTATGTACCCAGTAGTCATTCAGGAGCAGGTTGTTCAGTTTCCATGTAGTTGAGCAGTTTTGAGTGAGTTTCTTAATCCTGAGTTCTAGTTTGATTGCACTGTGGTCTGACAGATAGTTTGTTATAATTTCTGTTCTTTTACATTTGCTGAGGAGAGCTTTACTTCCAAGTATGTGGTCAATTTTGGAATAGGTGTGGTGTGGTGCTGAAAAAAATGTATATTCTGTTGATTTGGGGTGGAGAGTTCTGTAGATGTCTATTAGGTCCACTTGGCATATTTATCTTTTTGTGACTGGCCTATTTCACTTAGCATAATGGTCTTCAAGAACAATCTGTGTTGTAGGAAGTGTCAGGAATTTCTTTCTTTTTTAATGTTGAATAACATTCCATTGCACATATATGCCACCATTTGTTATTTGATGGGCATTTGTGTTGCTTGCACCTTTTGGCTATTGTGAATAATCCAGCTATGAAAATGGGTACACAAATATCTGTTTGATTCTCATTCTGTTGCATTTCTTTCCTTGGGGTATATACCCAAAAGTGGAATTTCTGAATCATATGTTGACTTTATTTTTAATATTTTGAGGAACTGCCATAACATTTTTTCATAGCATGTGTAATATTTAGCATTCCCAGCAACACTACACAAGGATTCAAAACTCTCCACATTTTTGCCAACACTTGCTATGTTTTGCTAATCTGATTGTACTCATCCTAATACATATGCAGTAACATCTCAATGTGGTTTTGATTTTCATTTCCGCAATAATTAGTAATAGAGAGTATATTTTAATGTGCTTATTAGCCATTTGTGTATCTGTCTGAAGAAATATCCAAAGACCTTTGCCCATTTCTTAATCTGGTTGTTTTGTTTCTGGCGTTGAGTTCATATATTCTGAATATTAACCTCTTATCAGAGACATGATGGCATATGTTTTCTCCTATTCTGAGTTGCCTTTTTTACTGTGTTGATTGTGTCTTTAGGTGCAAAGAAGTTTTTAATTTTGATGTAATTCAATATATCTTTTTTTCTTGAATATAATTTTGGTGTCATATCCAAGAAATCATTGTCAAATCAAATTTCAGGAAAAGTGTTTCCTGTTTTCCTCTAAGAGTTTTATAGTTGTAGCTGTTACATTGCGGTCTTTGATGCATTTTGAGTTAACTTTTATATATGATATGATGTCCAACTTTGTTCTTTCAGATGCAAATATCCAGTACTCCCAATACCATTTTTGAAAAGACTGTCCTTTTTTGGTTGAAGTCTTGGTATTCTTGTTGAAAATCATTTGACCATATACAAATTACCCCTGACTTACAATATTCAGACTTACAATTTTGTGACTCTGTGAAGGTACAAAATCAATATGCATTCAAGAGGAACTGTACTTTGAGTTCCCAACTACTGGTTTTTCAATTTCAGTATAGTGTTCAATAAATTACATGAGATACTAAACACTTTATTATAAAATAGGCTTTGAGTTAGATGATTTTGTTTAACTCTACGCTAATGTAAGTGTCCCGAGCATTGGGGTTTTGATAAGTGTTCTGAGCATGTTATGGTAGGCTAAGCTGCAATGTTCAATAAGGTAGGTATATTAAATGCATTTTTGACTTACAGTATTTTCAACTTAACAATAGATTTATTGAGATGTAACCCCATCATAAGTTGAGGAGTATCAGTATGCAAGTGTTTTGGGCGGGGGGGGGCTCTCTATTCTATCCTATTGTTTTACATGTCAGTATTTATGCCAGTATCACACAGTTTTGATTGCTGTAGAATTGTATTAATGTTTTAAATGAGGAAGTGTGACATCTCCAACTTTGAATTTGTTTTCCAAGATTGTTTCAGCTATTTGAGATCCCTTAAGAATCTGTATGGATTTTTTTTTTATATTTCTGCAGAAAACACCAGTGGTATTTTGATAGTGGTGCATTGAATCTGTGGATTGCTTTGTTTAGTACTAACATCTTAACAACATTAAGTTTTGGAATCCATGTACGTGGGTTATCTTTCCATGTACTGTGTCTTTTTAAAATTATTTCGGTAATGTTTTATAGCTTTCAGCATACAAGTCTTTCAACTCCTTGATTAAGTATATTCTTATATTTAATGTAAGTCTATACTCCTCTTCATGCAATGCTTTCAGTTTACAAAGATGTTCTACATAAACTACCTTTATTAAAACTGTCGTAAATATTTCGTATCTTCTAGACTTACATCAATTTTATTTATGAGCAGGATGCCATGTCGATGTTTGTCTTATTATTCCTTAATTTGGCAACGTTGCAATTCCTCCTCATGTAGTCAAGTCAGTCTCCCCAATAATTTTTAAAGACAATGTTATTAAAAATAAAGAAATGTATACATGATGAAGTGATTTTGTTACAAAGCAAGCCAAATTTTTGTACTGCTACAGCTACTATAAAATCACCCCAAGAGTAAATAATTTTCTAAAATTATATATAATGAATAAATAAGTAAATTTTATTTATTATTGCTATTTAAATTGAGTGATAAAATTAATTGTGTTGTACTATTAAGACTTTCAATATTTTAGTTGAAACTGCAATTTGAAAAAGTATTTTACAAAAGAACTTGCAGAGATCTGTGAGTTTAGTAATAACAGAACATAAATATATTTTAATATATATATGTATATTATATGTAGACCTATACCACAACTACACAATGAAAATGAAATGCAATCCCTTTTTACAACTTAGGTCTTGCATGAAGTTAATTGAAGATAATATGAAATGGGAATGTACATTAATTGACGAAATATTTGAAGTGTTTTTCTAAAAGTTAGTAAGATAGTTTTATGATCTTTTGGGGAAAAAATAGTACATAGTTGGAGTAAAGAAAGAAGGAAGCAGAATGAAAACAACATTCTATAAATTTATGGTAAAATTTAATAATGTGGCTTACTAGTTTTCTTATGAAGTATCAATTTAAAAAGTTATACAGTCAGATCTTGCAGATCATTTTAAGGATTGGGAACATTAATTTCCAGGTGATAATGAGTAAATAAACTGTTGTGAGCAAGAGCATGATTATGCATATTTTAGAGAGAGAACTGGCAGCTATGTTAGAATTGATGGAGAAAATGACTCAAAATAGAAAGATGAAATAAAAGATTCTGGCCATCATATAAGTAAGAGATGATGAAAGCTAGAAATAATGAGAGAAATAGTATAACTACTAGGCATCTGGCTTGGCTAACTAGGTATGTGGTGATGCTTTTTAACTGGAGCATGGCATAAAAATTGATCTTTCTAAAATTCTCTATTTAAGAGCTCTCAGTGATTTCCAATTCAAAGATAAAGCCCAATCTCATTAAGAAAGTATAAAAGACTCATTTTCTCCCCAGACTCTTCTCTTTCCATGTCCTTCATACCTCACTCTGCAACCAAGCCATACTGAGCTGCTTTCACTTATGCAAATGTAATACGTATATTTCCCTTGGGATTTTGTTCCCACTGCCTAGAAATATTTCTCATCCTTTTAACTAAGGCTTACTTGGTCTATTTTAAAAAGTTACTTCCTACAAAAACAATTTTTTATGCTCCAAGAATAGTTTACCTATCACTCTAATGTAATTGCATGTGGTCCTGAATTCACCAATGGGTAATCATCATTGCAATATAGTGTTAGTAAAATTGGTAGATTCTAGGTGGAGATAGACATCTGAGACATCAAAAAAAAAAAAAAAAACTCATTACTGCTGTAGTTACTTATTATGTTAATTGAGGTACTCAATGCACATTAGTGCAATGCAGTTAGATATTCAGTCAACTGTCAATTATTAAATAGACTTTTATCTTTTTACATTTTTGTTTTTAATATCATAGGCGCTGAACACCATGGACATTTTAGAAATAGCATTTGAGGCCAATAAATAGTTTTGCTTGCTTGCTTCCTTTCTTTCTTTAATGGTCTTTTAAAATATGCTGGATAATTTTAGTTTCCAACTGAAATACTGAAGCTGCTTCTTTCCAATCTCCTTGTGTTTATTCAGAAATAGCTACAGTGATGCTACTTCTCAAGAGGTAGAAGGATTGGAGGCATCTTGCTGTGGCGTTTCGTTTTGTTTCTCCATTTTCTTTTCCTCTGTACCTCCTTGAGTGAAGTGGTCAGCTACAGTTATAGGGTGGGTAGAGAAAAAAGGGAAATTCTTGTTTACTTTTTTGTTGACTGTCAGGTGATTATATTGTTTTTGTTTCTCTCACAGTGTGGAAACCCCATTTTTGTCATGGAAGCAACAATTTGCTTAAATGTCAAATAGACATAGAGCATTACAGATCATCATGTTGAAAGCTATGGCAAGCATGAGATTGTTTTTATAGCCAGCAGGGATTTTTTAATGTACATATTCTCATGGACTATGATGCTTTTAAGTGTGCTTTTTGATTATGTGAAAATCGTTTTGTGTAACAAATACAAGTGAAGAAGTAGAATAAAACATTTTGATAAACTTTCAGTGTTTGTGTATTGCCAATACATCTATTACAGTGTATTTGTGTTATATCTCAAATCCAGAATATTATGAAAATGCTAAAAGAATTTTCTAACTTAGAGAAAAAACTGTCATATCGGCCGGGCGCGGTGGCTCACGCCTGTAATCCCAGCACTTTGGGAGGCTGAGGCGGGCGGATCACAAGGTCAGGAGATCGAGACCATCCTGGCTAACACGGTGAAACCCCGTCTCTACTAAAATACAAAAAATTAGCCGGGCGTGGTAGCGGGCGCCTGTAGTCCCAGCTACTCGGGAGGCTGAGGCAGGAGAATGGCGTGTACCCGGGAGGCGGAGCTTGCAGTGAGCCGAGATCGCGCCACTGCACTCCAGCCTGGGCGACAGAGCGAGACTCCGTCTCAAAAAAAAAAAAAAAAAAAAAAAGAAAAGAAAAAACTGTCATATCACAACATGTCACTGAAATGAAATCAACAGAACTCAAAATGGCTCATTTTTATTTAGAAGAGAAATGATTTATGAACCTTAGTTTTATTTGGAACATCATATTTTCTTGAAGAGGATATTCAAAGAGTTAATATTCACTTCTGTGGTCACATATTATGATTAGAAATTCCTCTTTTCTATTTCTATATAACTTCTGCATTTTGACTGACATCTAAAAATGATAACTCTTCTCTGTGAATCTGCATTAAAATAAGTGATTGGTAATAAAAATGCAAGAATTCATATTGAGGTACTGCAACTTAAAATCTTCTGCATAATATAAAATACAATAAACTGTCTTTTGGACCCAAAGAGAAAATTTCCTATACATAGATGATTAATAAACTGAAAAAAAAGAGATATGATTTAATTTGTAAAGAGAAAACTTCAAATATTTCTGTCAGATAGAACTGTATATAGCCTGATAGTGTGGATTCTAGACTAGTTTGAAAGAAAGCAATAGTGAAAATGAATTTCATGCCAGCAGACACTTTAAAAACTAGATTTAGTAGCAGTCACATTAGCTTAGATAATGGGAGAATTTTTCTTCATTGAAAATGCTCTCTGTCGCTTAAGAAGAACTTACTGAGGCAGCCTGCCATCTAGCTTTTTCACAGAAAAACAGGCTTGCAGACTGCAGATGAGAGAGTCTGGAGCAGAGACAATTTTAACTTAGCCATTCCTAATTTATCTCAAGCGTTTTCAATTCATCTTCACTGCTCTATGCACACAGGAACACCAGATTGCCATCCCTGGGGAACAGAATGCAACCCGGGATCTAGAGAGCTGTCACATTCCAAGAAATATTTAAATTGTGCTGATTTTCTTCTGGAGAACTGAGCCCAGGGAATGAAACTCTCCATCAAGTCATGGCTTTGCGGGCAATAGATCAGAGGATATTGCCAGTTTTCTAATGGATTATTGTTATCGGGCAGGTTTTCTCTGAAGGTACGTAGTTATTTTCTCAATTCATTACCCTCTCTTCTTTATCAGGTAATAGTCTAATGAGCTAGGGATCCAAACCTGTAAAAAGAGAAAGATGTTAAGTAGTCTGTATGGACTGAAGAATGACACTTTATTGCTGCATGTTTATAGGTGAAATAATCTGCTCCCTTTACTGAAGATTAGTAGAATATAGTTTGAATTGCATTGTCAGCAAAAACAGAAAAAATCACAACAAAACCGTGCTGCAGGCTGCATTATCATAAGTTCATATTAATTCTCTTGAGGATTTTCCTTTTGTAGCTGCAATATATAATGAAGAAAAATATGTACTTTGGAAACTCACTTACCCATATGTATTTTTGAATCTTTTAAAACAATCATAGTATTTTATTTATATTTTCCAAAATACAAACTTTGTCTCAAATGCTTGTATTTATTTTGGTATCATGGATGCGTATGATACATAAATATTTGAATGATGAAAGTATTTAATTTAAAGAAACTTCAGTATAAGTCTTTTTGATAATATTATGTAGATATAATTGTTTGCCTTACAGATATCTATTTTTGAGTTTGAAAGGATTTTACTAAAATTGATTGCTACAGTTTCAGTTAATTATGCTACAAAATTATTATTTAACTTTGTTCTGTTAGTGAAAACCTCAATGCCTTTCATAGAAGTACAAGAAATGTTTAGCAAAGCAAAATGCTAAAAACTGAAAAACTTCTGAATATCAACAGAACCGATAAAATGGGAGAAAGCCTTATTCGAAACTGAAATTTATCCCATTATACTTATGATATCTTAGAACAGCAAAGGTGACTTCCGTGTCTGTTTCTGAAAAGTTAAAGGTGTGTGTGTGTATGTTCTGTATCAGAGAGAGAATGGGAGTGTAGAATAGAAAAGAAGCATATAGTAATCACAGTGATCTTATAAACATGTAGTATTAGGGCTCTTGAGCTTTTTTTAATGTTTTATTATTGTGTGAATAGGCTCAATGAAATCTATCATATTGTTGCTGTTTTTCTGTGTTAAAAATGACTATAAAAATGGTTAGAATAGCAGGTATATTTGACCTGGAGCATGGTGTATATTTGACCTGGAGCATGGTGTACCTGCTGCTGTATGGACTGGAACACAGAGTTTGTGTTCCCTTCAGTGGGTTAATACAGGCTCAAGAGAGGAAGTGGTGGCTGAGCTTCACAAGAGCACTTGTTAAGTGTATTCTAATTTCTTTGGAGCATTTGAAAGACTATTAGAACAAAGGAAAGAGGGAAGGATTGAGTCACCCAAATCGTAACTTTAAGTGCATTTTCTCTTTTCCTCACAGGGATTGTAAAAGGCAAAAAAATGGAAAAGAGAAAAGAGTATAAAGTCCTCAAAGAGACTTTTAAGTACTTCTTTTTTCATGAACTTTACAGGAATTGAGGAACAGCGCCTTAAATTAAAATTTCCCTACGGATTCCTCCATTTGGCAAGCTTTCTCTCCTTTGTGGAACCTTTTCCCTCCACTCACTTTAAAGCATTAAAAAAGTGAGATTGCTCCCAGTCTGGTTTCTCCCCCAATAACTCACAGCTCTAATTTAAACCTACAGAAGTGCACTCTCTGAAACTACATACACTCCTGAATGTCTTAGAGTTTTACAATTCGATGGCTTATGACTTTCAGAGGATACAGTGATTTAACATCCTCTCTCTCTCTTTTCTATTTTTAAAAATTACAACTGACTCTTCCGAAAATCTCAAACAATGTGCTAAAGGAGGCACAAGTAGGAAAAAAAGAAAGCATTTCAGGGAACATATTTCATGTTCTTCCAAAATCATACCAATGATGATACCAATGGATAATGAAATAGTCACTTCATGTTTGGGTATGGAGGAGCTAGAATAGAAGTTTAGCAATATATTCTTTAATTTGCCTTTTGAATGTTAGATGAATATAACATATATGAAAATCAGGAGGGGCAGCTCCAATTGTCAAAGTGCAATAAAAATTTTATATATCTGACCTCTTATTAACATTCTCTACCACAATCATGTTAGTGTCTCTTGCCTCCCCATAGGATTCATTCACCTACCCAGCCATTGAAATCTGCTCAACTTCCAGGTTTAGTACTAAAACTTACTTTGCCTCATCTTATGGTGAGTTCATTACAAAATATATTACCATAATTTCATTTTATTAGTTGTCGTTAAATAACATTTACTGAGTGCCCATGATATGTTTGTTGCTTCCAAGCAACATGTAGGACAAAAAAAAATGTAATGGTATTCTCTCCTAAATCAGCCAGTTTATTAATATTTCAGGACCTCTAATTGGTACACACAGAGGGAGGAAATGAAGCCTGACTCTTTAGTTGCTGCTTATGTGCATTATAGGTATGAAACATCCTATATTCAGTCAATGACTTGAATTTATCTTTACAGAGGATTCCAGACTGTTCATCAAGTTGTTTTCAAATTCTCCTTTAACTATATTTCACATGTCAAAGTGTTATAGTAGACAGAAAATAGGATTGGTGATAAGACAAACTAAGTTTAAATCCGTTAAGCTAGTTTGTTTAATTGATCTCTATACACCTCTGTCTCATTATATGTATAATGGCACTAGTGGTATCTACATTTTAGATTCTTGTTGGGAGTGGGATCACATGAATTAAATAATAAATACGTAGTTTGTGCACCGCATATGCTCAATAAATGGTACATATTTTTGCATATATTTTCTCACATATTTTCCCATAAGGATGTTCTAGTTGAAATTAATTTGACTCTTTAATGATGTTTGTGTGTGTGTTTGTGTGTGTGTGTGGAGGGGGGTTTTGGCTGTGTAAATGTATATTATCACATGTCTATTTTGCAGTTTCAGTAATAAAAATAATGCATTGAGCATGTGAGTACTGTTTGCAATTAAAGAACCTGTGGATACTTACACATAGATAAAATTGAAAAGTGACTAGTTTGGGAAATCACTTGGCATATTCTATACGGTTATCTAATAGCTAAATTATCAACCATAATTTGCCAGAGAAAGCAGAGAGAACTATTCCTCATTTCCCACTTTTACATTTTCCCAAAGGATATGGAAATAGAAGACAAGACAATAAATCCTCTTGCTCATTATACCGTGCCCTTTGCCCTTTTCATTTGCATTTTATTTTGCTACGTGGATTATCTAGTGATATGGCCTTAAATTCTAACTGCACAGAGTAGTTCAAGCGTACCAATCCATCCCTCAAGGAACAAAGCAAATATATGAAGACCTTTATTAAAATAAAAGACAGCTTCTGCTTTGAAAAAATGCTAAACATTTTTTAATGAGAGTAAAACTGTCAAATGTGAATGTTAAATTCAGCCAGATGTTGACCTTAACTGTGAATTTAAATCTTTACAAAAATAGTATCTATGCTAGAAACTGTTTTTATTGGGTCTCAAGACTACTGAAAAATTCTACATCTGAATTCCTCAGATGCATCTCATATTAAGTTTAAAATATACAGAAAAACTCCTTAAGATTCTGAGTTATATGGGGAAATAAATTCAACATAACACATGTCTGTCTTTACTTTTTGTATTGATATTTGGAAACACATTGATATTTGGAAAATTTTGGAAACAAAATTTTGTACGTTTCCAAATATTAACACAAAAAGTAAAGGCAGACATGTGTTATATTGAATTTATCTGTGTACAAAAGGGAGCCACCAACTAATTGTTTTGAAGGTGCTTTACAGGAAAGTATCTAGCATATTCTAGCTAGGTCAAAATGTGGACACAAAAGCAAGTACTTGCTGATGAACCATTTGAGTTTGTTTTTGTTTTCTTTAGAGACAGTGTCTGTTGACAGTGCCAACCCAGTCTTAAACCTACAACCCGCCTACACACCAATGAGGAGACATGTTAGGCATCTGACTTCATTTATAAAAAGATTATTGAAGTTCTTGTATTATTTTTGGATATTTTGACCCAATGCTTAAGGAGATTAAAGCCTATGTTATAATTTCAGCTGTGTTTCCTAATCTGTAAAGGGGTGTGTGTGTGTGTGTGTGTGTGTGTGGTGGTTGGGGGAAGTAGACAGTAGGTAATCATCATATTCATTTGGTGATATGGATCAAATGACAAAATGTCACAAAATACTATTATATGGCCTTGTAAAGCAGTAAAAAATATTAATGGTTATTGTTGTTTCTGTCATAACATCACCACATCCAGGTCCACCCCGATGTTGAGTTTGCTGTTATTTACTTTGATTTTCAGACTTCCTTTGTGGTCACAGATTTGTGCTCACCTACTTTCTTCTTCTGTCCATGGCTAACTCCAGGCAAATATTTCCATAATATTAAACCCTGCCCCTTTGACCCAAAGTTAGAATTAAATGGTTTGGCTTGGCCACTAATTCCCTGAGGCATTTTTCCCTCAGCAAATTATCTATCTACCTATCTATAGATGGACCTATATCTATATCTATATCTATATCTATATCTATCTATCTCTATCTATAGATAGATCTGTAAGTATATAGACAGATAGAGATAGATATATTTAAATTTTAAGATTTGGAAGCAACCTAGGTATCCATCGTTGAATGAATGGATAAAGAAAATCTGGTATATATACACAATGAAATACTATTCAGCATTAAAAAAGAAAGAAATTTGGTCATTTATGACAATATGGGTGAACCTGGAGGACATTATGCTAAGTAAAATAAGCCAAACAAATTGGTAATGGGAAAGCAAATCTCTAAATTGAGTGATTCTCTCAATTTATATATAATGTCAGACAAATAGTAAAGGAGGCACTAGGAAACTACTGGTTCCCTTGTCAGGTGTACCCTTCTCAGGCTTCCAGAACACAGGCTGCTAACTACTTTTTGTAAAAACAAACAAAACAAACAAACAAAAAAACAGACAGAAAATGTGGTTTGAATTGCGTCTCCCTAAATTTCATATATTGAAGACTTAACCTCCAATATCTCAGAATGTGACTATATTTGTAGATGGGTTCATTAATGAGGGAATTAAATTGAAATGGAGTCATTAGAGTAGGCCCTCATCCAATAGGACTGGTATCCTAAGAAGAGGGAATTTGGACACAGACTTACACAGAGGAAAGACTGTGTGAAGACACAGGGAGAAGACGGACATCTACAAGCCAAGAAGTGAGGCCTCAGAAGCATACAACCCTGCTGACACCTTCATTTCAGACTTGCAACCTTTCAATTGTAAGAAAATAAACTTCTGTTATTTAAGCCACCCAGTCTGTAGTACATTGTTATGGCCGTCCTAGCAAAGTAATACAATAAATGTTTTTACTTTGTAGGCCACATAAGATTCTGTTGCATATTATTCTGTGTTCTCTTTCTCCTCCCTCTCTTTCACTGTTAAAAATTTAAAAATTATTCTTAGGCCAAATTTGGCCAAGGAACATAATTTATCCTCTCCTAGGATATCCAAGGACTTTCAAAGCCTTTCAAAGTTTGATCAAATTTCCTACTTTGGTAAGGTGTTTCCTAAATTTTCTAAACTTCCGTTTTATGGCACAAGATAGTCTAATATACAAATGTCAGCAGTTATTTTTAGCCTAAAAAATGTAACTAGACCAATTTCTTCTACCAATGTACATCCGACAATCTCAATTTGATGTAAATGTCTACCTCAATATTTTAAGTTCACTGTTAATGGACACTTAAAAGCTTCAGTGTTAAAACGATATATGAAAAAAACATAACATTTTTATGTTGAATACATTCTGTGGAGTAAAGACTATTACTAAACATGTGTTTTCTCATGTCCATTCTACTAGCAACCTTCCAGAGTACTTGCTATTATGATCATTTTACTAATGTGGAAATCAAGAAAGATGAAGCAACTGTCCATGATTACGTAGCATAAGTAGATTACGTGGTTAGCTAAGGTTTGGGTCAGAATCTTTGTCCCACAATATCACATTTAATCACCATACTATAATGGCTCTCAAACCATGGCACGGTTTTATATTTACTATGAGAAAAGCTATAAAAATGTAGAAAAATATCTATTACATAGCACTGTAAGTGAAAAAGAGGAGAGATAATATGGTGCTTATTTTAATCTTATTTACAGGTTTAGGTAAATCGCAGGTATGATGCTACTCTAGTTAATTATGTGATTTCTGTTTGTCTTTTCTCATAGAGTATGTGACTTATCTTTTTAGGACTTTTTTTCTTCAAAATATTTTGCTGAATGAGTATGGATAAATACGTCAGACTTATAGAAAATCTAAAGAACAAAATGGTATAATTTGAAAGTTACAAAAATTTTGTGTTTAATTTTGCAAGTAAATAAGTCCATGCTTAGTTTAATAATTCATATTATGTAGAGAAATAATGAATAAGCCAAACTGACAAATAGTTATAAATATTCTAATACACAGGGAGTAGACTTGAATGGTTTTGTGGCGGGACATGCTTGAGGGAAATCTTTGCCAGGTGGTAATTCTGCTTTGTTTCGAAGAAGTATATGATGTTGTGTAAATTCCTGGGTTTTCCTTTTTAAGTTCAGTGATGCATCTGATGTGCCTACAGTATTTTTTGTAGAACTGAGTTATATTTTATTGCCAAATTTGAATTTGTTAGAACATCCTTGAAAAGTAGGCCAGCACCCCCATGCAATGTTAAGTACAGTTGATCTACTTCATAAATTATTCTTCTATCACCTCATTTTCACAACAGAATCTTTGTGATATTGTCAGATTCCCATATACAATACAAGAAATATAATCATCATAAAGAGAAAGGTTGTCAATCACCTGCCCAAGTCAAGCAATGTAAATAAACAGGCTTAATAATTCCAGGTTTTAATTATAATATCTATCATGCAAGTAAAATATATGCTTGTGCCTATGTAGAACCTTAATACAACATTGTTATTATTTAGAAAATTCTTTTATTAGGCCCTATCATCTTAGTCTTTAGTAGACTCCTGGACACAGGAGAACAATACCAAAGCAAAATTTCTTTAGCTATTTTTATTTGGACACCTGGATAACTACGTACATTACATTGCATTGAAATTATTTTTATTTAATATGTCTTTAGATTTACTATCTCTAGAAAGATTTTATGTTCATATGAGTAGGGATGTAAATGTGTATATGTGAGAGTGTTTATATACACATTGGTGTCATGTGTGTTTGTATTTTTTCCAAGCCTTACTCGCAGGAGATTGAAAAGCAGATTTTTAGTCTACAGGAAGAATATTGAGAAGCATCTTCTTATCCCATCACAAATAGACCCTGAAGTGTATAGGATTTGTAACATTAAACACCCCTGTGGTTCATCTCGTAGCTCTCTGACACCCTCCCTCTACATAGTATTGTTCCTCCCAGAATGATTCGAGCTTTAGAAAATGATCTACCAGGGATTTTTCTTTCTTCTTTTCGATTATCATTGTGGGTTCAAGGTTGGGAATATTCAAGGAAAATGGATATCTTTATGAGAATAGGTAGAATTTACATGTAGAAATGAAGATTAACATGGCAAATTATTGAAAAAAGGTATACTCTTCATGGGTTTCCAATGGGGGTCGGCAGGGGGTGGGCTGGATCTTGAAAATCAAGTTGGAAAAGGAGAAATGCCCATAAAATAACTTTCTGAGCATTTGAGTTATTATATGTTCTCCTTTGACCTTGAGATCAGTTGTATTTAGCATTTGTTTCATGTCTTGTTTTTATTTTAAAACTCCTTCTAGTTATCTTTAAACCTTTAGTAAATGCCCACATAGGCCATGAGGTAGAGGTTCTTTGGAAATGTAGAGTGGGGCTACAATTGCACATAAAACCTTCACAGCTCCTCTTTAGGAGGAGGGTAACTAGAAAGCAGAGGCCTGAGGTGTAGATATCCACGTCTACCTGTGACAAGTTTGTTTGTTTGTTTGTTTGTTTGTTTGTTTCATTAGGAGCCATCTTGTAATATAGAGGCAGAATGCAATAGAGCATGGTCTTAAATAGGCTAAGAGAAGCTGACTTTCGAAAAACATGAGTAATCTCTAGGTCCTACCATTATGTAGATTGGACCTATAGAGTTGGCAGTTGCTTGGGAGATAGATACACACACAAACAATACTATACACACTCATCTCTTAAGAAACAATAATGATTTTTAAAGATAGTATTCACTAAATCTACATTAAAGGAAAAATCTTCACATATGTACACATAGAGTCATGGATAGACAGACACTTAAACAGATAAATACATACTTAGAGACCAATACATACAGCCTTACAGGTACCGAAACAGAGACAGGCTGATAAACACATGTGGTGACAGAATAACAGATAGAAATTAAAAATGGGATAGGAATAGTCAGACCCCATGACAGGGGCAGGCAAACTGAAAGACAGTGTGAAACATACCACAGAGAGAGATGGATGGATAGACAGGTAGAAAAGCACAAACGGGCATACAGGGGCAGAAAGAGATGGATGGACTGACAAGAGGGACAGTGAGACTCAGGCTCAAGCTCAAACATGGGCAGGCAGTTCCAGTCATTAATAGGCAACCCAACATAGATATAGACATGGACATATGTGTATATACTTGCATTGTTCTTACACAGGAATTTTACCCTATATGTTCATGAGGTAAAATTCAGTAACAAACCATTTTCTTTTGTTTATTAAGGATACTTCTAAAATATATCCAGCAATGCATTTTTTATTATATAAATGTAAAAAAAACATCGATATGTATGTAAACATGCCTTGTAATTTCCCTTCATTTTATCTAGTACTGCTGTCTTTGGGTAAGAAAAACAAATAAAATAGTCAAGTTATTGTGAGGTTGCTGTTGAAATGTTACCTTAAGGTCTTTTCAAGCTCTGTAATGTAAGAGACAAGTCAGAAAAGAAAATGATCAATTTTCTTTCTCCAGTATAAGTAACAACAATTATAAAAGAAACAAAAGAACAAAACACTTATGCCTCCAAAACATTATTAATGTCAAAACCATTATTGCAGTTCTTAGTCTTTTTGCTATAGGTCACTGAAATCATTTCTAAGTTATGAATACACTTGATTTTTTTTGTTTGAAATAAGATGAGGAAAACAAAAAATATAGAATACTCCTAAGATTGTATGAAATTTTAAAGCTTGAATGAATATATATTGGACCTTAAATTTTGTAGAAAGTTTTAAGTATTGCATTATATTTAGCTTTAGATTTACTTGAAATAGTTACTCAGTCTTCCAAATGTTTTACAGTTATAAGAATATTTATAGGATGACAAAGCCTAATGGTTGTTTAGGAGCTACTTTTAGAGGCTTGGAAGGATGTATAGACTATATAATTAAATGCATATGTTAAATAATATTATTAGAAAATATGTTGCAGGTAGTAACTACATGGTATTTGTAACTATCCTTTCTTTTCAATGATATGTGAACATAATCAGCCAGTATAAAACAATTTCTCATATTATTTTAAATCTACTATTGTGTATTATATATGATACTTGAAATTAAGGCAAACTAAGAATGGGGATTTGTGTTTTGCTATGAAATTACTCTTCGGTGAGGCAACAAACAAAGTTTTCCATTTTTTATTAATATCTGAAAAGTATAAATGTGTATATAATGCACCTTCCTTTAAATAGCTGTGTTGAGGTATAATTTATATACCATAGAATTCTTTAAGCATATAAGTCAACAACTTTTGGCAAATTTATATTGTGTACAACTATCACCGCAATCCAGGTTTAGAATATTTTCATCATCCCAGAAAGAATCCACATGTCCACTTATAGTCCTCTCATTTGTCACCCAAGGCAACCACTAGTCTCCTTTTTTTCTCTCTATCTTTGCTTTTTTGGACGTTTCACATAAATAGAATCATGCAATATGTAGTCTTCTGTGTCTTGCTTCTTTTGCTTAGCATAATGTTTTTAGGATCATCATACTGTAGCATCATTTCTTTGCCCAATAGCATCCCATTCTTTGTACATACCAAATTTTCTTCATCCATTAACTAGTTCATGTACATATGGTTTGTTTTGGGGGTTACTTTTTGTGATTGTGCACTCTCAAAGAGTGAAGATGGTACTCATTTTCCTAGAATCTCTATTCACATTATGAATGTGTGTTTCAAAACCAACTAATGTTCAAATTAATTTACTCTGTCGGTATTTATAAAAGTCATTTTTAAAAGCTAAGAATACAGCACACAAAACAAATTTTTAAAAGTTTGTTATGAAAGTATATTAAGGTTATGCATAATGTTATACTCTAGCCTGATAAGATTAGATTACTTATTTTAGATATAAATTACCTTACTTGTTTAACATATCTCGGAGTAAAAATATAAATGATAAATATATAATATAGTTAAAATTATTTATTATTTTCCTTGTTTCCTGTTTTAAATGAAAAAGTTATTTTCTCTTAAAAATGTGATGTTTTCTGATTGAATAAACTATTATAGACAAAAATCTACAAATAATTAGCTTTACCATAATATTTTATTCATAACAGATTTTACATTTTAAATGCATTTGATTCTATTTCTAAAAATTTTCTACATTTAATTTTTCCTACTACCATTAATTACTAAGTGAAAGCTCAAGTTAGTTTTCTAAGTTTTTATCTTTAGAGATTCCTAATCTAATGAAAAAAATGGGTATATATTTCCAAATCATGTAGACATCTGAGGCTAATTATAAGTTAGACTACTTATTGATAGGGTTTCTATCATGTTTTAAGTTACTGATTTCCCAGAAAGCATACGAACTTTTTTCAAGTTTATGCTTCATGATAATTTTTCCACTTATTTATTTACTTATGATTAATTAACATGGTATGATGCCTTTATACATATTTGACTTTGAAATTGTCAAGTTGTGTATAAAGCAAAACTTATTTGGCTTTTAAATGGCTTTTTTTCTGCCACATTTTTTGTCTGTATCAGACAATCAAACATATGATTTACTACAACACTTTCTTTCTATTTGTTTAAGTATGATAAATGCATGTCTTTCCAAGGCATTTTTCTTTCGTTGAACTCTTAAGTATACATTTCTCTAAGTGTCATTGTTTGCTTTTATTTTTCTATATTTGCTCTATCTGGACAGTTTCATTCATTGTCACATTTTCGACTCCATCTAAATCTACAAGTATACTCATGACTTTTTCCTTTTGATTCTGACCTGGTAGTTATTGTTCAATATCCAACAGATATTTTGTTTACAGAAAAATACTATTGAGAAAAACTCAGTAGGAAATATTCAGGAAAGTGTAAAGAAAAAATAGTGTCTACTTTGTTTGTTGAGAGAATACTAATATTTTTCCATTTTATAAGGTTTTTGACCATGTACATTTTTGCACCAGGAGCAAAAGGATTTTGCATTCTAATTAAATGCTCCATCTCCTATCTTTGTTCTCATGGATGCCATAAAATCAACATGGTCTCTCCCTGCTGCTAATATGGCCAGCCTTTACTTGGT
The DNA here is from genome assembly GCF_000001405.40 of Homo sapiens. Classification (NCBI taxonomy): domain Eukaryota; kingdom Metazoa; phylum Chordata; class Mammalia; order Primates; family Hominidae; genus Homo; species Homo sapiens. The sequence goes on along the minus strand of NW_015148967.1, from coordinate 58,962 downwards.
TCAATTAAAATGATTTTAGATGGGGGATCTCATACTAAAGCAGTTTTACAATAAATAGAAATAAATACCTTGTGTCTGAAATGTTTTTCTTGTGATCCTCTAAGTGATATCATTCAATTTTTCTGTGTGTCTATTAATATATGAATTGATTTTTCTAAAGAAAATTAAGTACCATGTTATTTCTGTTATGTTAGAAGTATAAGGGATTAGTAGCAGAGATGTCTAGAAAGCTTCTTTAATTGGCTTTACAATCATTCTTTTTGAACAAAAAAATTTTTATTTTTCTTTGTATTTTAGACAAATATACATAGACTAAAATTATAAAAGCACAAGTATAACATTATACTTGAGAATATTTGGTGGAACCTCCCCCCATTTCTTTTTTGTTTCAGTTTAACTAGATCGCTAATTCCTAGGAGGAGTAGAAGAGTGCTATAACATATTGGCCTAAGGAGAATCATATGCACTCAGGTACATGAACTCTCTCATTCCCAGTCATGCCTACCCCCAACGAACCATGATTTCTGTTGGATTTTTAAAATTATAACTGTTACATTCTTATGGATAAAAAATTCAATGAACTGTTTTGGGTAAAAAGACATTTGCTATCAGCTTTTGTTTTGCAAGGTGCATTTAAACAAAAATATTGTGATGGCATCATTGAAACATGGACATATCAATTAATACTTTGGGTATAATTTTTAAATTAACTTTAATAATGATTTAAATTACCATATTTGTAAAATGGGGTCAACACCTACACTAGACTTTTGAGAGTCCTCAATTGCAGCCAGTTTTTATAACCTAATCCTGCCCTGTCTCCTACCAGATCAGCATGAAATAAATGTGACCTCATGACATAAACTAAGCCCTGGAATCTGGAGTAGCATCATGAAAACTCTAATCAGTTTTATTTGGATGCCTATACTGGGGAGTCACATAACACAGGAAGTCGATAGCGATGAATGGCTTATGTGCAAATTAGGCAGGGCAAAACAGTTTAAAGAGAGCAATAGAGTAGAGGGAAGCTCAAGAAGGAGGTTGATGAGGTATCCCATAATTATGGAGCTGTAAGGTAGATGCAGTAATAATGTGAGGAGCTTGTTGGGTCCTGGATACACTCACTTTCTGCTGGATTCCTGGAGACATCTAGTACTCTGGTGTCACCCCAATTGATCTGAAGTAGGCTCTTAGCACTATTGCCAATCACAGTAACTGTCCTTATACTACAGTCTCTTTTGGAGAAAATTATTTTATTCTCTTTCCTTTTTAAATCTCCAAGACCCCTTATTTTCATGTGTTTCTTGTTTTAGTCAGAGGAGATATTTTTTATTTCACCTCCAAATATATAAATTTATGTTCACTTGCATCAGCCAAGGGGCACTGTAGTATCACACTGTTGTATGCTGGTAAAAAGCTTAGTTTCTAGAGCCAGTGATGATAAGTTTAAATCTAGCTCCATCATTTACTAGAACTATATATTTTATGTCTTTAAATATTCTGTCAATGACCTAGATAAGTAAAATTAAATATTCTTCATTAATGTGTTTCCATTTTTCCTTGTATTTCCTACAAATGTATCTGTGTATATCGAAGCTCTTATGTGATATATAGCCATTACTATTTTGTCTTCAATGTTATTGGTACCCATTAATGTTATAAAGATCTCTGATTTGTCTCAGTTAATAGTTTTGGCCTAAATATATACTTGTTTCTTATTGATACAGTAAACTCTGCTTCTTTATGTTTAAATTGTCTATATCTCTGCACATTAAAAAATTATATGAATCACTTTGCGTCAGGTTTATCTCGTATATAGCAAAGATTTAGGATGGTTTTGTAATATCTGAAAAGTTTTCTTTTTTAAAATTATCTTACTCACATTTATGGATTTGAGAAATGTTCATGAACTCCATCTTTTTTGGATATTGGTAATTATTAGAAAAGTCAGTATTCCACATACTTCCTGATTTCTTACCCTCTTTCCTCAAACCTTGGTGTTTATATCATTTCTATATTTAGGCATTAAGTACATACCTTCTATTTCTTCACCCGAAACCTCACATTAGTTTGAATCTTACATCTACAGATAAATGTATAAATTCCTTCCTACTCTAGCGGTTTTTCTAGTCATTTTTGATTGACTCGTGTTGACCTTTTCTACTTAGATCAGAAACAGTTCATGAAAATATTTCTTGTGTATTCAAAACCTTTTATTGCTTTTATTCTTAAAAGATTATTTAACTCAATATAAATTCTTTTGGTCATAATTCCTTCCCTTGAGCACTTTGAAGGTATTTTTCCATTTTAATCTAGCAGTAAAGGCTCTACAAAAGAATTCCAAGATTGGCTTTTTCCCCTCTTGTTAATTTCAATATAAAAAACTTGTATTTTTTCTTTTCTTCTCTCTCTCTCTCTTTTTTTTTTTTTTTTTTGGCCTGGCTGTCTAAAGCATTTTCTGAATAAGAATTCATGTTTGATATCAAGTAAACTTACTGAGATACCTTCAGTGTTGACAGTCTGGGACCATTTTTTTTCCTCTGGGACATGACACCATCTTTTCAAGATGCAGATTCAAGTCTTTTTTTGGATTACAGTAGTTCCATCTCATCTGCAGGGAATACTTTCCAAGACCCCCAGTAGATGCTTAAACTGCAGATAGCACTAAGCCCTATATACATGCCTTTTCCATCTTAACTATCATGTACTGTAGCCATAACTTTTGCAGTTTAAGAAAACTAGTACAAATTTATTTTTTTCCTTATTCACCATCTCCAAATAGAAGATTCATTCTTAACATAAATCTTAGCAACCTAAACATACAATTTATTTTTTTCTTATAAAGTAGATAACTTTGACATTTTCCCTTTAAAAATCACTTTACAGCTTCCTTTTGGCATAGCCAAATTACCAGCATCGCTACTCTTGTGCTTTGGGACTATTTTTAAACCAAGTGAGATTTACTTGAACACATGCACTGTAATATGCCAGGGTCAATCTGATAAGATTTGACTGCCACTGAGATGATCTGAGACAGCCACTCAGGGACTAATGGGCAGGTAGGCATAGGTACCTTGAACTAAGGGATGATTTATGCTCTGGGTAGGATGGTGCAGGACAGTGGAAGATTTCATCATGCTACTCAGAACAGTAGGTAATTTAAAACTTACACCTTGTTTATTTCTGGAACTTTCTATGTAATATGTTCAAACCGTGGTTGCAACTGAAAACCTGCATAAGGGAGGATTACTATATAAACTTTTTAAACCTATTAGTTTTGTTTTATTATTTCTGTTTTATTCCATGGGAATATACTTATACAAATGTTAGCTCTCCTTATCTATGTTTCACTTCTACTGTTTTCTGCATATCACTTACTAGCCTTTTTTAAAAAATGGATAAAATGTTTTCTTTCTTTCACCTGTATTTTATTTTCTGTGTTTCTTTTGACTATTTTTTGCTTCTCTTTTTTTATGTCTCATTTTCTCCTTAATCCCTTTTAACTCTCTTTAAAAATTGTCTTTTTTATTTTTTGCCCATTTTCTATCCTGGATATCTTTTTTTGATAGTTTTATGATTGTATTTTACTCTTTCCCTGAGCTTTGCCAGACAATGTGACAACTATCCTCATCGTTTTCTTATGTGTTCCTAGAGATGGTGAAATTCTGATTTGTGTTTATGCCCTGTAGACGTAATTATCTGTTAATTTTTTTTCCGTAAATTTAGATTTTTCTGTAAAAATTAACAGATAATTACATGAAATTCATGGAAATTATTTGGCAAATCTTTTTAAATCTAAGTATGTGCCAGTTTCCTTTATTTTTTCAAAAAGCCAAGACCCAATTTCATTAATTTTTTTCTACCTTTTGCGTTTCTATTTTACTTATTTCTGTTTGAATCTTTGTTATTTTCTTCCTTATGCTAACTTTGGGCTTTGTTTGTTCTTTTTTGTTCTTGTTCCTTGAAATGTGCAATTTGATTATCTAGTTGATCTATTTCCTTTTTTTAATGCAGGTATTTATCTCAATAAACTTTCTTGTAATACTTAGTTGGTGCATCTCATTAGTTTTACTGTGTTGTGTTTTTGTTTTTCTTGAAGCATTTTTCTAATTTCTTTTTTCTCTTACCCAGTGGTTGTTACAGTGTGTTGTTCAATTACTACCTATTTGGGAATTTCCAGTTTTCTTTCTAAAATTCTATTGTGATCAGAAAAGACTTGGTATAATTTCAGTCTTAATGAATTATTAAGACTTATTTTCTAACCTAACATAATTTGTCATGAAAAAAATTCTATGTGCACTGGTGAAGAATGTGTGTTCTGCTGCTCTTAGGTAGAATATTTAGTATATATCTGTTAGGTCCAGTTAGTTGATAGTGTTGTTCAAGTCATCTACTGATTTTTTGTGTGGTTACTACCCATTCCTGAGTGTGCGGTATTGAATTATTCCACTCTTATTGCATGACTCTGTTTATTGATGTTTGCTGAACATACTTAGGTGCTATGATGGTGGGTGCACATATATTTATAATTGTTATATTTTCCTGGCAACTCTTTTATCGTTATACACTGTCCTTTTTTGTATTTTGCTTCTGTTTTTGACTTGAAGTCTATTTTGTCTGATATAAGTATAGCTGTCCCTGCTTTCTTTTTGTTCCCATTTGCATGGAGTATCTTTTTTTCATCCACTTACCTTCAGCCTGCATGTGTCTAAAGAGAGATTTTTGTAGACAGCATTTAGATAGGTCTATTTTAAATATTCATTTGGTCACTCTGTATGTTTTGATTAGAGTTTAATTCATTTACATTCAAAATAACTTAGTAAGGGAAGATTTCCTACTGCCATTTTGTGATTTGTTTTGTTAGTCTTGCAGTCCTTTTGTTTCTTCCTTTTCCACTGTCTTCATGTGTGTTTTGTTGATTTGTTTTCAGTGATAAACTTTGATTCCTTCCTTTGACTTTTTTGTAACTTCTATAGGTATATGTATTTTTTTCTTTAATGTGTGTGGTGACCTTGGGGTCTACATCACATATGTTATAACATTATATTTTAAGCTGATAACAACTTAAATTCAATCACTATCACTTATAAAACTCTACACTTTAACACCCTCATAAACATTATATTATTGTTGTCATAATTTATACCTAGTCGTATTGTGTCTTTAAACATATTTCAGTTATCATTATTTTTAATACTTTTGTCTTTAACTTTTTTACTACAATTAAAATAATTTACCTACCACCGTTATAATAATATAGCTGTAGTGAGTAAGCAATGGCTAGATAAAGAATCACAAGCATGTGTCAGTTGTCTTTCTCATATTATCTCCAAACCAAAAAAGACAGTAATTTTAAACCTTTGTCAGGGTTTTATTGTAACTCTCCAAAAATTTTTGATTAGACACTACTAAACCTAAATGTCAAGTATCCAAACCGTGGCTGATATTTTTATTTTTTAACAACTGCAGCAAACAGACAGTTCTAACCTATAATGAAACCTCCCTGGTGCACTTGAAAAAGGCTTTAAGAAAGGATGATCAATGGGTACAAAAATACAATTAGATAGATGGAATAAGATATAGTGTTTGGTAGCACTATATGATAAGTATCATTAACAATAACTTACTGTATATTTCAAAATAACTAAAAGAGTGGAATTAAAATGTTCCTAACACAAAGAAATGATAACTGCTTCAGGTGATGGATATCCAATTACCCTGAGTTGATTATTACAAATTCTATGCTTGTATAATATCAAAATATTGCACATACTCCATAAGTATGCAAAATTATGCATCCATAAAAATTTAAAAAGATTAAACGTTGCTTAACTTTGTCCTCAATATTTTGTCTATTTTTTTCATTCACTTATCAGTGCAACCTATATACATTTATAAAGTACCTGGACAGGAACTTTTATAGTTGCTGCAGCTACATCACTGTGTAGAATACATTGCAAGGTCTCTAAGGGTTTATATTCTGTTAGGACATTTCTTACCTTCTAAAATTTCTCTGCATGTATTACATACACACTCATTCTTTAATGACTAAGCTAAATAAAAGTAATTTTCTTGAATGCCTTGTTTACACAAATTTTTAACTTCAGTTATGCTTTGCCAAAGAGATTACACACCTTAAATAAAGGCTTCCAGCATGGGCTAAGAATTGCTTTCTGTTTCTTATATACTAATACACTCCAACATGATTGAGGATATTCCACCATTGTATACTCTCATTAGTTTTACCTATTGCCCTAAATAGGGTGGAACTACATTTGACATGCTATGGATGCAAAATAGAGATACATGTAAGATAAGTATTTAAAAGTAGTAACCAAATAACTCCACTGTGACTTAATATTAGTTTTCAACATTATATATCTATTTCCTCAAATATATCCTTCACACTGAACTCAAAATCTAATCTTACTAAATTCAAGATATTGTATCTCTCTTTCATCTTCTTATAAACCAATCTGTAGTGGAACCTTTGAAAAATCTATGTATCACTTTATTATTAAATTCTTTAAAAAGTTAAAATTGAAATGACATATTAAAACTTTTATAAAATAGTTTCAAATAACTATTGATCATGATTATTAGGGCTATCCACATATACTGTGATTCTTCTTCTTACAGGCAAATTATTAGGTTGGAATTTACTACCACTTTAAGATAGAAAAGAATGCTAGATTTGTTTTAGCCCATGAAATTAAACTAAGTCTCATAAGTCAATCGAAAGTTAAAGGAATTGATTGATGGTGTCAAATTCCAACTTTTCTTTCCTTGTTGTAGAAATGTTATTTGTGTAGAAATGAAGTCTTTGTCATACTGAGTCACTGAAAAACCATTATAAATGGGGTCTTCCCACCAACCCATAGTGGACATATACAACAAGTAAGAAATAACCTTTGAAATATTGATCCAAATTTTGTGTTCTATGTTATAAAAGTAGAAAATTGCCCATTATAATAAAGGTAGAAAAAATACATATATTTATATTTGTTGAATTACAGACATTTCTTTTTATGATTTATACTTTATCTTAAATCTTGTTAGATGATGCTCAGATTAAAGGCATCTTTATTTTTTGTAATATTTGCTTTCCATATTGTAAACAAAAATAAAAAATAAAATATATTTCCTCAGAATTATCTATAGCAAATTATCCCATTATAGCCTAATCTTCACAACAAAGGATCATGCTTAAATAATGTTTTTTGTTTGTTTACTTTTTGAAGAATTTCTTCTTCATGGACAGCTTTACTTATTTGTTAAATACTCATTCTTATTAAGCATTACCCTCCATGTTTGGAACTAGACATTTTTGGTTTTTGTTAAATAACCTTTTAAAATCTAAGCCTTAATAGTGCAACTTTAATCATTATTATAATTATGATTTAGAGCAAACTGTTGAAGATATTCTAATTAACTCTAAGTTAGTCCTGCAAATTATTATACGAAAAAAGTTTTCTGTATTAAAATACATATAGGTATTGTTTACTACTGTACATTGTTTCAGAAATGTACATATTATTTGGCAAAATAAAAGTTTTAAACATTTTCCAATAAAGAAATAACTTTTATGCTTTTTATCTTAACTTTTCCCAAATGTATTTGACCACAGTACATATTTTTCATACACCACTTATTGACTGCCTCTGAAACTACTATTTTGCATTGGATAATTTAGGAAAAATCTATTATTACAAGTTTCTAGAGAAAGAATAAATTATGTACAATTTGCAGTATAGTTTTTTTCTTTTTTGCATTTGAATCCTTAGAAGACTGAAAATCTATGCAGCTGGCAAGAATTTGATTAAATATAGCAACCTATACTACACCACAGTTTAGAGAAAAAGGAAGATTCATATCATATATGAACCACTTACTAGCTGTGAGGGCTTAGACAAGTTATTTTAGCTTCAGTTTTTTATTTCTCATTTTAAGTAGTTGATGATGATGATACTTAAGAAACTGAGATATAATAATTGACTTCTTTCATGTAAATCTCTTATTTCAATGGCTGCCATGTGGAAAGTACTAAATAAAAATATGCAATTTCCTCATTTACTTAGAAAAGAGAAAATTACTGTAAATCTTACATTTTTGTTTTTCATAGTGGTTATACCATTTTGCATTTGCACCAGGAATGTGTGAGATTATATTCCCATCTCTGACTTTAAGATTTTTAAGTTGTCACCCTTCTAGTGGGTATATAGCTGAGATTTTAATTTGCATGCTGGTAGTCAGCATTTATTCATATGCTTATTTACCATTCATATAATTATTTTAGTGAAGTGGCTGTTTAAATATCTTGTCCATTCGTTAAGAATGTTGTTAGACTTCATGTTATTCTTATTATTGAGTTCTAAGAATTCATTACTGAAGTTCTTTATCATATGTGTTTCTGTTCTAGCACTTGAGATGACAAAGGAAATCCAATTGTCCTTGCTCTTAAAAAAGTACTATTGTCGTTTTTTCTTTAGAAGCTTCAAAATGTTTTATTTGAGTTTATTTTTTTCCCTGTTGAATGTATACATGTGGATTTATTCCACACGGGAGCCGTTGTGCTTCTTGAACTTGAATAGACAAGAATTCTATCAATTCTAGAATCACCTTAATTACCTATTTAAAGTCAGCTCTCTCCACTTTGTCTAATTCTGTATTGTTAGACATCTCACTACAGTTTCCATGCCTCTAACAATTCACTCTGATTTTCTATTACCTTATCCCTCTCTGCTTCTTTATAATTATTGAGTAGTTCACTAATTATCTTTTAATCTGTGCAAAAGAATGGTTTCACCTGTTCACTGATTTTTAATGTCTTTTTAATTTCTTCATGTTATCCAAATTTGTTATATTTATTCTGATTTGTTATTTTATAAATTTGCTTATTTTTAAGACTATTTTTTATGTTCTTGATGATTAATATTCTGTTATTGGTCTTGGAAATGCTAATTCTCTTATGTTTTGAATTCATGATGGAAATTTTGTCTTATGTTGCATAACTTAAAGAGTGTATCTTTATTGGCACATTTCTCCCCTGTGTAAATTTCATTCAGTTGCAGTTGTGGCAATATCTGGTCAAAGTAGTTTTACATTAATTTATTTAATAGACCTTTTGCTGTTAATATTCATTTCTCACCTTGTGCAAGTAGGGTACTAGGTTTATAGTTCTTCAGGTAAGTTATATTTATGTATTGTCTTGTTTGTTTTTTAAAATAAGAATTATGCCAGTGCCACTTCTGGAAGGAACCAGTTCAAATTCCTGCTTTAGGCAGTTTAAAAGGCCCACACTCTATCCTAGTGTACAGATTAAAATCAAAGCCAATGCATATTAAGACATATTTCCTCTCTCAAAATCTTTGCAAAGAGTACTACTGTGATTTTCAATTTTGGCTTTATTTCTGCCACAGTAATATTTCTATTAATTTTCTGAGATGACAAACTTTGCAGAAGAAGTCATTGTCAAGGATAAAAATGGACATTTCTAAATTATGGAAGGAGAAATTCACTGTGAATATAAAATGATTCTGAACTTTAATGCTTATAGCAACAAAGGTTCAAAATATTTACCAAACTAGTAGGCCTATTTCTCAATAAATGCTAGATTAAACAGAAAGAACAATTTTTAAAACCATAGAAAAAAATAAGTGAGACAACTTCATTTATAAGCTTGATTTGATGGACTTTTGTCTGTACCCAACAGATGTAGAAGAATACACGTGGAACATTCATCCAAATAGGAGGAAACAAAGCAAGTCTCCAAATTACTAAAGAAACAATATGAAACAAATATCAAGAAATAAATTACAATGTAAAAACAATACAAAAAGAAACAAAACAATTTTTAATAATTTTTGGATTATGTTAAAATAATAAACAATTTAAATATTCTATCAATCAAAAGTGAAGTGAATGTAAACTTAAATTAAAAATATGTAGAACTGAATGACAACAAAAGTATTAAATTCAACAATTGTGTTGTATGAATAAAGTAGTGTATAAATTAAAATATATATTCTATATTTTATATCATGAAAAAAGAATGTTTGAAAATAAGAATGCTTGAAAATTAATGTAACATGTATAATTCAATGGTTTAATAATAGGAAGGCAACTGAATATACTGAAAGAAAGAAAAAAAGGGGCATAAGAATAAGAATGTAAAAGAAAAATCAAGAAACCAAAAATGAAAGCAATATATTATACATCAAAATACTTGTAACAAAATAAGAAATAAAGTAATATCAAATTATTAGTGATATAGGATTATACAATAATAATAACAGTGAGAAACAATAAAATAATTAAAAATAAAAATAAGCAAAATAAATAATAACCACTGATTAGTTCGATCAAGACAAAATGTTTGGTACAAAAATAAAAGTGAAAAATGATTGCTAACAACAGATATTGCAGGGACATATCCACTCAATACACAGACACACACATTAACACACAAAAATATTCACACTAATACAAAACCCACTGTTGTTCTAAAAAAATTTTTAGTGGCACATGTTAGCAAATTCTCACATAAAAGATAATTTTTATCTTATCTAATTTTTTTTAACCAGAATGTATTAAAAAATGACAAATTTCTAGAACACTTAATTTTGCTGGTACGTAACCTTCATATTAAAGCTTGTTTAGGTCAGTGTGAGAAAGATTGAAGGTTAATGACATTTTCAAAGATTAAAAATTTTTTTAAAAAAATTTGAAACCTATACCAGCAATGTATACACAAAAGTAAAATATTCTGATAAAATATATGTTTTCTCAGAAATTAAGGGATAGCTTACCGTCAACTAATTTAAACAAACTTGTAACGTATTTTTAAAAAGTTATAAGTAGATACACAAGGTTTATCTAGTCAATTTTGACACACAATTATAAAAAGAAAATAAAAACATAAAAATATATTCCTTGTAACCTACAAATATAGGAGATATGAAAGAGAAATTCATTTACCTGATAAGACTATCTAATGAAAACCTGCAAAAATATATCATGTTTCATCATACAATCTTAAAAGCAGGCCCTTTAAAATTAAGATCAACAAATTTTCTACTCAAAATCTTATTGGGGGACATGGTCAGGAAAATAAAGAATAAAGATCAGAGAAACAATAAAATTATTTGTTCTTTTTTTCTCACCCTTAGGATTTTTTAAATAAGTTATTGGCATACAGGTGGTATTTGGTTACAAGAGTAAGTTCTTTAGTGGTGATTTGTGATATTTTGCTGCACCCATCGCCTAAGGAGTATACACTGCTCCATATTTGTAGTCTTTTTTCCCTTGCCCCCCCACCACTCTTCCCCCCAAGTCCATTGTATCATTCTTGCCTTTGTGTCCTCATAGCTTAGCTTTCACATGTCAGTGAGAACATATGATGTTTGGTTTTCCATTCTTGAGTTACTTAACTTAGAGTAATAGTCTCCAATCCCATCCAGGTCACTGCAAATGCTGTTAATTCATTCCTTTTTATGGCTGCATAGTATTCTATCATATAATATAAATTATATAATATTATATAATATCACAGTTTCCTTATCCACTTGTTGATTGAGTTGGTTCCACGATTTTGCTATTGTGAATTGTGTCACTATAAGCATGTGTGTACATGTATTTTTTTTTTTGAATAATGACTTATTTTCTTCTGGGTAGATACCCAGTAGTGGGATTGTTGGATCAAATGGTAGTTCTACTTTTAGTTCTTTAAGGAATCGCCACACTGTTTTCCACAGTGGCTGTATTAGTTTACATTCCCACCAGCAGTGTAGAAGTGTTGCCTGTTTACCACATCCATGCCACTGTCTACTGTTTTTTGTTTTTTGATTATGGTCATTCTTACAGGAGCAAGGCGGTATTGCGTTGTGGTTTTGATTTGCATTTCCCTGATCATTAGTGATGTTGAGCATTTTTTCATATGTTTGTTGGCAATTTGTATATCTTCTTTTGAGAATTGTCTATTTATGTCTTTAGCACACTTTTTGATGGGATTGTTTTTCTCTTACTGATTTGTTTGAGTTCGTTGTAGATTCTTGAGGAAGTCAAACTGTAACTATTTGCTAACAATATGATCGTTACCTTGAAAACCCTAAGGTCTCCTCCAGAAAGTTCCTAGAAATGTACATCTGACAAAAATTTTAAAGAGTCTCATTTTTTTCATTTTATAATTGATTTCTTAATTTACTCAGGATGCTATAACAAAATACCTTAGACTACATACTTTATAAACAATAAAAGTTTATTTCTCACTGTTCTGCGAGCTGGAAAGTCCAAGATCAAGTTCAAAATAAGCAGCAGATTCAGTGTCTAGTGAGGGCTTATTTCCTGGTTCATAGAGGCCACATTTTCTCTGTTCTTCAAATGGTGGAAAAGGTAAGGTGGCTCTCTGGGGCCTCTTTTATAAGGGCACTCATCCCATTCAAGAGGGCTTCTTCCTCATTACTTAATCACTTCCCAAAAGCTCGACCTTGGAATATCACCACATTGTGATTAGATTTCAACACATGAATTTCGGGGTAATACAAACATTCAGACCATAGAAACGATTTCAGAAAACATCTAAGTAATCTTCTTTGGAATTAATATAATTATAAGAGAATTGGAATTAATGTAATTGTAAGAGAATTGGAATTAATATAAGAGCATTGGAATTAATATAATTATAAGAGAATTGGAATTAATATAATTATGAGAATTCAGTAACTTTATTTGCTGAAAGAACATGCCTTTCATATATATATGTATATGTATATATATGTATATATATACGTATATGTATATATACGTATATATATACGTATATGTATATATATGTATATATATACGTATATGTATATATACGTATATATATACGTATATGTATATATATGTATATATATACGTATATGTATATATATGTGTATATATATACACGTATATGCCAAATAATTAGATAATAAAAGCTTAAAAAATAAATAATTTGCAAAAGCCATGGGAGATAACAGTGCTTAGAAATATATCTATCAGCCTGAGGTCAGGAGTTTGTGACCAGCCTGGGCAACACGGTGAAACCCTGTCTCTACTAAAATACAAAAAAATTTGCCAGGCGTGGCAGTGTGCACCTGTAGTCCCAGCTAATTGGAAGGCTGAGGCAGGAGAATTGCTTGAACCTGGGTGGCGGAGGTTGCAGTGAGCCAATATCGTGCCACTGCACTCTAGCCTAGGCAACAGAGCGAGACTCTGTTCCCCATCCCCCCCAAAAAAAAGAAAGAAAAAGGAATATTTATATCAAAATTATGCAAAACATTTACAGAGAAAATTTTAAAATTCTATAGGAATAGAATGTTTAAATAAATGGAGAAATACATTTTATGGAAGAGAAGATTTGTAAAATTGGAAAATCTGCCCAAATTAACCTGTAAAGTAAATGTAATTTCATTCAAATACACAACATAGTTTTGGATGAAACTGAACAAGGTGATTTTATAAAAGTGTAAAGTGTTAAAACCTAAGGCAATTTTTCAGAAATATGTAGTGACTCACTGTGTCAATTAAAAATGAATTATTATGGTTATAAAAAATATTGTCATATTATCAGGGTGATAAATAAATATATTACCATAAAATTATAGCCTAGAAACACATATACATTGCATATGCATTGAAACCTATATGAAAAAAATGTGTTTGAAAAGCATATGTTATATGGTACCAGGAAAATTCACTAGACTATGAGAAAATTTCAAAATTAGATTATTTCTTTAGAGTAAATTAAATCAGGTAGATTAAAGATCTTAATGTCTAAAGGTAAAAACGCACGAATTTTGACAGAAAATATGTAATATCATGTGACGTCAGTGTAGGGAAAGATTCTTGAACAAGACTTGAAATGTATAAATCATAAGGAAAAATAATGATAAAATTGATAGCTCTAAAATTACTATTTTCAAGATGTCCAAAAACAGCATCTTTTTCAGTCTGGATATGATATAGAACTATTTCTTCTTGCTTCTCCCTGCTAAGCACAACTATAAACTCTATAAACTACTCAAGAGGCAAGCAAAAGACAATGCTGACAACTGGTTTGGAACCCTGGATTTGAGAATGTGGCATCAGCAGTATATGTCTTGCATATACCCACAAAACAGAAGAAGCCTTGCAGGCATTTCTTGACCTGAAACCTAGTAAAAGTAGGCATCCTATCTAGGCTAATTTTTTCACCATGTTGAAATGAATACCCTCTGATATCAGGTGAGTGCAATACCAATGGCAAATGAATGATCAGAAATTCTGGCATCAGTTAGTGACCAGAAGAAGTGCTCTCCATCCCATTTAGGCCTGATATTTCCTTACTCCACTGGGATAGCCCAGTAAAGGTTGGCAAAACCAACAAAAGAGACCCAGTCTCAAGAGTCGTTCTTAGTAGACCTGAGACTCTTCCCCTAAGAAAAGTGAAGACATACACTTCACATTCAACAACATAGGTAGGCTGATAGTTAAAGGATGGAAAAGGAAATGCTATTTAAAACATTAAAGATAAAAAAGCATGTGTGACTTTATTAATATATAATATATACGGCCTAATAAAGTAGACATAAAATCCAAGAAAACTATTAGAGACAGAAAGAAGTTTAATAATGACAGAAGATCCATTTAACAAGATGACCTAACAATCCCAATTGTGTCCTCAGTAAACAAGAAAGCTTCAAAATTCATGAAGCAAAAATGTCTAGAACTGAAAAAAGTAAAAAACAAATCCACAAATATAATTGGAAACTGTATCTCCCACTTAACAACTGAGAGAATTACTAGATAGAAAATAACAAAGGATATAGAAAATCTGAACAGCACACTCAACCAGTAGGATCTAACTGACATTTATAGAACCCCTCACCAAACAATATCAGAATACACATTTTTCAACAATCAACAGAACATTAATTGAAATAGTCTGTATGCTAATTCATAAAATAAATCTCAATAAATTTAAAGTAAATGAAATCAGACAGAATGTGTCCCCTGCCAACAATGACATTGAAGCAGAAATCAATAATAGAATGACCACAGGAAAATCTCTAAACACATGAAAATTAAACACACACTCTTAAATAGTTTATGTCAAATATAAAATATTTTAAAAAATGTAGACTAGAATGAAAATACATATGGAGCATACAAAAATGCAAGAGATGCAGCTAAAGCAATGCTGAGAGAAAAATGTATAGCATGAAGTGCTTACATTGCTGACAAGGACTAGTCTCAAATCAAAAATCAAAGTTTCTACATCAAGAAACTAGAAAATAGAAGAGCAAATTAAACTCAGAGCAAAAAGCAGGAAGGAAATATTCAGAGCAAAAATCAATAAAATTGAAAATTGGAAAATGATAGAGAACATTGATGAACACTGGTTCTTCAAATTAAATTAATAAACTGGTAAGACTAGCAAAAATAATAAAAGAAAACACAAATTGTCAATATGAGAAATGAAATTGGGGATATAATATAAATTTTACAGCCATTAATAATAGAATACTGGCTGGGCACGTTGGGTCATGCCTGTAATCTCAGCACTTTGGGAGGCTGAGGCAGACAGATCACTTTAGGACGAGAGTTCAAGACCAGCCTGGCCAACATGGTGAAACCCAGTCTCCACTAAAAATACAAAAATTTGCTGGGCGTGGTGTCAGGTGCCTGTAATCCCAGCTACTCTGGAGGCTGAGGCAGGAAAATTACCTAACGTAGGAGGTGGAGATTGAAGTGAGCCGAGATCGTGCCACTACACTCCAGCCTGGGTGACAGAGTGAGACTCTGTCTCAAGAAAAAAAAAAAAAAAAAAAAATACTATGAGTGCCTTGGTGAACATCAATTAGAAAAAAATGGAACTGTTCTTCAGAAAGCACAAATCACTGAAACTCAAACATGATGCCTTATAGTCGATCATTTAAAAATGAAATTATTAATTTAAAAGCTCCCAGAAAAGAAATCACCAATCTAAAATTGTTTCACTAGAGAATCACAACAGAATGTGTCCCCTGCCAACAATGACATTGAAGCAGAAATCAATAATAGAATGACCACAGGAAAATCTCTAAACACATGAAAATTAAACACACACTCTTAAATAGTTTATGTCAAATATAAAATCTTTGACAAGGACTAGTCTCAAATCAAAAATCAAAGTTTCTACATCAAGAAACTAGAAAATAGAAGAGCAAATTAAACTCAGAGCAAAAAGCAGGAAGGAAATATTCAGAGCAATTGCTAATTGCAATTGCTAATTAGCAATTTTAGAAGAGGGAATATTCATTCATTAATCATTTCACTAGGCTAGTATTACCGTAATACCAAAATTGACAAAGATAGTACAAAATCAAAGAAAACTATAGACATATATCTCTCACAATTTTGCATGCAAAAAAGTTGATATATAAGGAATCTCAAAATATTAGAAGATCAACTACAATATATATGAAAATAATTATAGGCCATGATCAAGTGGGATTTATTTCTCGGTGCAAGGCTGGTTGAACACTCAAAAATCAATAATGTTATCTACCATATCCACTAACTAATGAAGAAAAATCTGTTGATCATATCCATTGACACAAGAGCATTTAACAAAATCCAATAACCATTCATGATAGAAGCTCTTAAAAAGTTAGAAATACAAGGGAATTACCTCAACTTGAAAAATAACATCACCCTAAGCTTATAACTGATATAATTCTTTATGGTGAAAGACTGAATGCTCTCCTATATGAGATTGGAAATAAGGAAAGTATATCTGTTCACCCTACTCTTATTCAACATAGTATTGAAAATTCTATTCAGTGTAATAAGGCAAGATAGAGAAATACAGATTGAAAAATAAAAAAGACAAAACTCACCATTTGTAGACTACATGATTATTTCTTATAACATAAGAAATCACAACAAGTCAAATTCCCCAAATGCCTAAATGTTTTAAGACTCAGGATCAATTTTAAAAAACACATTTCAATATAAAAAAATGAAAATGCAGAAATTTAATGGAAACACAATACTACATGCAATTACTCCAAATAATTTGCAATACTGAGGTAAACACTTAAAAGACTCTGTATGGATTTTTACAATGAAAGTTACAAAATGCTGATGAAGAAAATCAAGTAGGCTTAAATTAATGAAGAGACAACTTTTGTTCATGAATTGGAATCAATATAGTACGGATGCCATTTGTCTGCAGAATTATCTAAAGCTGTTTAATGCAATTTTAGTAAAGGTGCTAGAAAGAATTTTCATAGACATAGACAAGTTTATTCCATAATTTAAATAGAAATATATGGGCTCTGCCAAAGATCTATAAAGAAAATAAAAAGATTAACACCAGACAAAGCAAAAATATTTGCCAAACTCATATCTGGCAAAGTCCTGTGTCTAGAATACACAAAAAGAAAAATCAAAATTCAACAGCCAAACAAGCCAAAAAATCTAATTATAAAATGGCCCAAATTATGAAGAGGATATAAAAATGGCAAATAAGCACATGAAAAGCTATTCAACATTATTATGCAGCAGGAAAATATAAATCAAAACCACAATATCACTACAGCAGAATGGCAAATAAATTTTTTTTTAAAAAATAGGATACCAAATGCAGGGGAAGATGCAAAGAAACTGGGTCAATCATATATTGCTGGTGGGAAGGTAAAATGGTGGATATACTCTGGGAACCAATTTGTCAATTTCTTGTAAAAGTAAACATATAATTACTATACAAACTAAACTATCATTTGAAAACTTATCTTCTCAAAAAAACTTGAACAAAAATATTCATGGTAGTTTTTATCATTAGAGCTCAAACTGGAAATAGCTCAGATATCCAACAGGTGAACAACTAAACTAACTGTGTATATACATAGCATGGAATACTACTCTGAATGGAAAAGAACAAACTCTATACACATTCAATAACTCAGATGAATCTTGAAAGGATTATGCTAAATAAAAATCCACATTCATCCTATCCATGAACATGGGATGAATTTCCATTTCTTTGTGTCCTCTTTGATTTCCTTGAGCAGTGGTTTGTAGTTCTCTTTGAAGAGGTCCTTCATGTCCCATTTTAGCTGTATTCTTAGGTATTTTATTCTCTTTGTAGCAATTGTGAATGGCAGTTCATACATGATTTGGTTCTTGGCTTGCTGGTTGTTGGTGTATTGGAATGCTTGTGACTTTTGCACTTTGACTTTGTATCCTGAGACTTTGGTGAAGTTGCTTACCAGCTTAAGAAGCTTTTGGGCTGAGACGACAAGGTTTCCTAGACATAGGATCACAGTATCTGTATACAAAGACAATTTGACTTCCTCTCTTCCTATTTGAAAAGAGGAATTTTTATTTCTTTCTATTGCTTGATTGTGCTGGACAAAACTTCCAATGCTATGTTGCGTAGGAGGGGTGAGAGAGGGCATCCTTGTCTATTGCTAGTTTTCAGGAGGAATGCTTCCAGTTTTTGCCTATTCAGTATGATATTGGCTGTGGGTTTGTCATAAATGGCTATTATATTGAGGTATGTTTCTTAAATACCTAGTTTATTGAGAGTTTTTAACATGAAGGAATGTTGAATTTTATTGAAGTCCTTTTTTGCATCTAATTAAATAACCATGTGTTTCTTGTCTTTAGTTCTGTTTATGTGATGAATTACATTTATTGATTTGTGTATATTGAACCAGCCTTGCATCCTGGGGATGAAGCCAACTGGATTGTGGTGGACAAGCTTTTTGATGGGCTGCTAGATTTGGTTTTCCAGTATTTTATTGAGAATTTTTACACTAATGTTCATCAGGGATATTGGCCTGAAGTTTTCCTTTTTTGTTGTATATCTCTGCCAGATTTTGGTATCAAGATAATGCCAGCCTCATAGAATGAGTTAGAGAGGAGTCTCTCCTTTCAATTGCTTGGAATAGTTTCAGAAGGACGGATGTCTGCTCCTCTTTGTATTTCTGGTAGAATTCAGCTGTAAATCCATCTGGTTCTGGTCTTTTATTTGGTTGGTAGGCTATTACTGCCTCAATTTCAAAACTTGTTATTGGTCTATTCAGGGCTTTAACTTATTCTTAGTTCAGCCTTGGGAGGGTGTATGTGTCCAGGAATTTATCCGTTCATCAGAAAAGGTCTAATATCCAGAATCTACAAGGAAGTTAAACAAATTTATAAGAAAAAAAAACCATTAAAAAGTGGGCAAAGATATTAACAGACATTTCTCAAAAGAAGACATTCATGTGGCCAGCAAACATATGGAAAAAAAGCTCAACATCACTGATCATTAGAGAAATGCAAATCAAAATCACAATGAGATACCATATCATGCCAGTCAGAATGGCAATTATTAAAAAGTCAAGAAACAACAGATGCTGGGAAGGTTGCAGAGAAATAGGAAAATGGTTTAACACTGTTGGTGAGAATGTAAATTAGTTCAACCATTATGGACGACAGTGCGGGGATTCCCCAAAGATCTAGAACCAGAAATACCATTTGACCCAGCAATCCCATTAGTGGTTATATATGCAAAGGAATATAAATCATTCTTTTACAAAGATACATGCACACTTACTTTCATTGCAGCGCTATTCACAATAGCAAATACATGGAATCCATCCAAATGTCCATCAGTGATAGACTGGATAAAAAAAATGTGGTACATATACACTATGGAATACTATGCAGCCACAAAAAAGGAATAAAATCATGTCCTTGCAGGAACATAGATGGAGCTGGAGCCATTATCCTCAGCAAACCAACGTAGGAACAGAAAACCAAACACCGCATGTTCTCACTTATAAGTGGGAGCTAAACAATGAGAACACATGGACACACACTGGGGCGCAGCACACACTGGGGCCTGTCTGAGGGTGGAGTGGGGGAAGAGAGAGCATTAGGAAAAATAGCTAATGCATGTTGAGCTTAATACCTAGGCAATGTTTTGATAGGTGCAGCAAACCACCATGACACATGTTTACCTATGTAACAGACCTGCACATCCTGCACATGTACACCAGGATTAAAATAAAAATAAAAACTAAATAATATCCACATTCAAAAGGTGAGCAACTTATATATAGTTTCATATATAAGACGTTTTCTTTTTTTGATAATTTATTTATTTATTTTTTATTTATATATATACTTTTTATTTTACCTTAAGTTCTAGGGTACCTGTGCACAACGTGCAGGTTTGTTACGTATGTATACGTGTGCCATGTTGGTATGCTGCACCCATTAACTCGTTATTCACATTAGGTATATCTCTAGTGCTATCCCTCCCCCGCTACCCCCACCCCACAACAGGCCCCAGTGTGTGATGTTCTCCTTCCTGTGTCCAAGTGTTCTCGTTGTTCAATTCCCACCTATGAGTGAGAACATGTGGTGTTTGGTTTTTTTCCCTTGTGACAGTTTGCTGAGAATGATGGTTTCCAGCTCCAGAAAGGAAGACATTTTCAAATGGCAAAATTTTAGAAATGGAAACAGGTTAGTGCATGCTAGTGGTTAGGGACAGGGACTGAAGTGGAGGTGATCAGTGGCAGAGAATTGTCAGGAAGAGATGGGCGTGGTAATAGAAAGGTGACAGGAGGGATCCTTTTGGTAATGGAACTGTTCAGTAAATCTTGAGTGTAGTAGTGTATATATGAACTTACACACGTGGTAAAGTTATATAGAACTACATAAACACACATATACTCTCTCTCTCACACACACACACACACACAGATGTAAGTAAAGCTGGATAAATCTGAGTAAGATCCATGAATTGTACAAACACCAATGTTAGTTGTTGTTTTATAATATAGTTTGCAAAATTTTACCATTGTGAGAAACTGGATAAAGTGTACACAGGTCTTCTCTCTATTATTTCTTATAGTAGCATTTGAAACTACAATTTTATTGATAAAAATTCTAATAAAAGAGTACATAATAAATGCAATAAAATATATTTGCAACCCATATATTTGCAACAAAGCATTAGTATAGAGAATATATATATTCTATACATTGATAAATAAAAATAAGAAAATGAATAAAAAGGTTTTTTTTTACAAAAATAATTTTAAGGACAACTAAAGAGGTAGAAACCAGGATTCTTAACTGATAAAGCAAAAGTTGTTCAAGACACTTCTCAAAAGAAGAGATACAAGTGGCCAATAAATTTATGAAAAAATGTTTAACATCACTAAATCATCAGAGAATGCAAATCAAAACCATAATGAGATACCATCTCATACCAGTCATAATGGCTATTATTAAAAAATAAAAATAAAAGATGCTGGCAAGGCTGCAGGGAAAGGAATGCTTATACACTGCTGGTGGGAAGGTAAATTAGTTAAGCCACTGTGGAAATCAGTTCAGAGATTTCTTAAATAATTTAAACCAGAACTACCACTTGGTCCAGCAATCCCATTACTTGGTATCTATCCAAAAGAAAATAAATCATTCTACCAAAAACATATATGTACTGACATGTTCATTGAGGCAAAACACTATTCACAAAAGCAGAGACATGAAATCAACCTAGGTGCCTATCAATAGTTGATTAGATAAAGAAAATGTAGCACATATACACCATGGAATTCTATGCAGCCATAAAAAAGAAAAAAACTATGCCCTTTGCAGCAACATGAATGATGCTGGAGACCCTTTATCTTAAGCAAATTTACGCAGAAATAGAAAACCAAATACCACATGTTTCACTCATAAATGGGAGCTAAACACTGGGTACTCATAGACATAAAGGTGGCAAGAATACAAACTGGAGACTACTAGAGGGATTAAGGAGGGTAGGGAACAGGGGTTGAATACCTATCATATACTATGCTCAGTACCTGGGTGATATGATCATTAATATTCCAAACCTAAGCATCACACACTATACCCAGGTAACAAATCTGCACACATAACTGCTGAATCTAAAATAAAAGTAAAAAACAACAAAAAAAGAAAGAAATAGTTGTTCAATCCCACTAGTAATCAAGACAATTAACATTAAACAAACAATATCATATTATATCACAGTCATTGAAAACTAGTATTCATAAACAATATTAATATGGATACACAAAGGACAAATGTGCATTTCTGATAACAATATAATTGGCAACAAACACTTTGTAGAGAAATTTGGCAACTCCTATGAGTGTTGAAATGTGTATACCATAAATTCCAGTAATCTTACTTCTGCAAAAGTGAAGTTTATACATGTATCAGTTAAATGCTTAACCAAAATTTTAATCACATCCAAAACTTAGGACGCCACCTCCTGCATTACTTACCAAAGTTCGTCAAGTATAGGTTTTCTAAAGAAGTAAACATTGTGAATTTATTCTCAAAATTTTTCTTTAAAAATGTGCCATAAGTTTGCCTTTCTATATAGGTAAAATAGCTGAACTGTTGAGAAATGTGCAAATTTCTTTGATGGCTTAGATAATTTAGGGATCTGTCACTTAACAATTTGACTTAGAAATTACTGTAAATAAATTTAGTTGAAATCAGCATTGTCTTGTCAATGAAAAATACTTATGAAGTGTTATACATATAACTGAAGAATATATGTGTGCATATGAGGTATTATATTTTGTCACTGACAAAGACTTATTTCAATTACAATATAGCACTTATAATGAGAAATAGCCAAATATAATAAAATGATGTAGCTAATTCATAAAAGAAAAATATATATTTTTTTCTTCTTTCTTTCTTTATTTATTTATTTTATTTTTTTATTTTTTTATTATACTTTAAGTTTTAGGGTACATGTGCACATTGTGCAGCTTAGTTACATATGTATACATGTGCCGTGCTGGTGCGCTGCACCCACTAACTCGTCATCTAGCATTAGGTATATCTCCCAATGCTATCCCTCCCCCCTCCCCCCACCCCACTACAGTCCCCAGAGTGTGATATTCCCCTTCCTGTGTCCATGTGATCTCATTGTTCAATTCCCACCTATGAGTGAGAATATGCAGTGTTTGGTTTTTTGTTCTTGTGATAGTTTACTGAGAATTATGATTTCCAATTTCATCCATGTCCCTACAAAGGACGTGAACTCATCATTTTTTATGGCTGCATAGTATTCCATGGTGTATATGTGCCACATTTTCTTAATCCAGTCTATCATTGTTGGACATTTGGGTTGGTTCCAAGTCTTTGCTATTGTGAATAATGCCGCAATAAACATACGTGTGCATGTGTCTTTATAGCAGCATGATTTATAGTCATTTGGGTATATACCCAGTAATGGGATGGCTGGGTCAAATGGTATTTCTAGTTCTAGATCCCTGAGGAATCACCACACTGAATTCCACAATGGTTGAACTAGTTTACAGTCCCACCAACAGTGTAAAAGTGTTCCTATTTCTCCACATCCTCTCCAGCACCTGTTGTTTCCTGACTTTTTAATGATTGCCATTCTAACTGGTGTGAGATGGTATCTCATAGTGGTTTTGATTTGCATTTCTCCGATGGCCAGTGATGATGAGCATTTTTTCATGTGTTTTTTGGCTGCATAAATGTCTTCTTTTGAGAAGTGTCTGTTCATGTCCTTCGCCCACTTTTTGATGGGGTTGTTTGTTTTTTTCTTGTAAATTTGTTTGAGTTCATTGTAGATTCTGGATATTAGCCCTTTGTCAGATGAGTAGGTTGGGAAAATTTTCTTCCATGTTGTAGGTTGCCTGTTCACTCTGATGGTAGTTTCTTTTGCTGTGCAGAAGCTCTTTAGTTTAATTAGATCCCATTTGTCAATTTTGTCTTTTGTTGCCATTGCTTTTGGTGTTTTAGACATGAAGTCCTTTCCCATGCCTATGTCCTGAATGGTAATGCCTAGGTTTTCTTCTAGGGTTTTTATGGTTTTAGGTCTAACGTTTAAATCTTTAATCCATCTTGAATTGATTTTTGTATAAGGTGTAAGGGAGGGATCCAGTTTCAGCTTTCTACATATGGCTAGCCAGTTTTCTCAGCACCATTTATTAAATAGGGAATCCTTTCCCCATTGCTTGTTTTTCTCAGGTTTGTCAAAGATCAGATAGTTGTAGGTATGCGGCATTATTTATGAGGGCTCTGTTCTGTTCCATTGATCTATATCTCTGTTTTGGTACCAGTACCATGCTGTTTTGGTTACTGTAGCCTTGTAGTATAGTTTGAAGTCAGGTAGTGTGATGCCTCCAGCTTTGTTCTTTTGGCTTAGGATTGACTTGGCGATGCAGGCTCGTTTTTGGTTCCATATGAACTTTAAAGTAGTTTTTTCCAATTCTGTGAAGAAAGGCATTGGTAGCTTGATGGGGATGGCATTGAATCTGTAAATTACCTTGGGCAGTATGGCCATTTTCACGATATTGATTCTTCCTACCCATGAGCATGGAATGTTCTTCCATTTGTTTGTATCCTCTTTTATTTCTTTGAGCAGTGGTTTGTAGTTCTCCTTGAAGAGGTCCTTCACATCCCTTGTAAGTTGGATTCCTAGGTATTTTATTCTCTTTGAAGCAATTGTGAATGGGAGTTCACTCATGATTTGGCTCTCTGTTTGTCTGTTGTTGGTGTATAAGAATGCTTGTGATTTTTGCACACTGATTTTGTATCCTGAGACTTTGCTGAAGTTGCTTATTAAAATATAGAATAGCATTATTATTTTTGATGTATTATATATTCTGCTACCTTGCTAAGGACACAGAATGCTTGAAATAATTAGTGAATAAATTAATGAATGATCATTTTCAAACTGTAGGCCTAATACAGTACTATGTACAGAATTTTAAAAGCTTTAAAAACCATAACTAAAGCACCTCAAAAGGAACAGAATATTTAGTTATATTTTTGGACTTTGAGTATCTAACACAGTATGCATTCAGTAATCACAGACTGAATTAAATGAATCAAATAAAATCATACCTGAGTAGCAAATCTGCAGATATCCCATTTAACCCAGGTACTGACAAAAAGCTGGCAAGTTTAAGGTTATTAAAATACTCACTCTTCACTAATCTTTCAACAATTCTAAATATATGGCACCTTGTGTGGTATAAAGCTAATTATAAGTTTACACAGGTGTCAATTATACTTTAGAGAATAACTATTGACCATGATCCAGTGCCAGTCCTGAATTTCACCATGACAAGTTCCTAATAGTGGCTGACAGCATTTAGGAATGCAAAGAAATGAGGAAAACAATTGTAGTTAGTGGCTGGTAGAAAACAATGGGCCAGTTTGATATTTACATAAGGTTTAAAAAAATTCCCATGGCAAATCACTAAAATCTGCCACTCCATTAGGTGATAAAATAAAAATATTTCCCTTAACATTTTGTATTACCTATTTCTGGAAGAATTAGGGTTAGGTATGATGGACATTTCTGGCTTTTCTGGATAACTTGTAAGTATTAAGAAATTGATCCTGTGTGGGAATGGGAAAATAATTCCATTCGAAAGGTAATACATGTCAGATCACAACCAATGTAATACCTGGAAATTGAGAGGAAAAGAATGACTCATTCCAACTTTATAAGCAGGAGTAACATGTCCAGGAGTTCTTAGTCATCAGCTGCCCATCTGTACTCCCCTTCACCTTAGCCCTCATTATCATTCCAAGACATAATACTATCATCTGCCTTGTAACCAACAGAAAAAATCCCTACCTGCCTTCAACAAACTCAGAACTTTCTATTGATCTCCTATCCCCTGGATTCTTTTTCTATATGTCTATATATCTGCTTTTATCACTCATATTCATTACTGTTCCTAAATTTTGAATCTCTTCCACTGAGTCCTTGGGGATTCAGTCCATACATTGGTAAAATCACACACATTCTCAACACGCTCTCGATATTCTCCTCCCTTTTTTATTACTTAAAAAATGTTCTCCCTTGAGGACACTGCTTTTCTTGAAGCTCTCTCAAGTTGTGGTTGTTTTCTTTCCTGCAAATATATGACGTTTAGACAAGGAGAGCTGTCTTCTGTTCTTTCCATTGCCTTTTCTAGACCATTCTCTTCTTTCCTAAACAATGTCCTCCCTAATTTTAAATCAAATGCCTTTACACCACACGCTTATGTTGCAACCATAAGTGCAGCCATAAAGTCAGTGAATGAGAAACAGAAAATATCAAGGCTGGAGGTCAAGGTTCTAGTTAAACAGACCTAAGAGGATTTTTGCTGAAGGCAGGCCAGAGTGATAAGATATCACCTGAAGGATGGTAGGTGATGAGGATTTTAATCAGATATTGTGGACAATTAGATATAGAACATGGGGATTCTGGCTAAAACTGACTTAGCAGGATTTCTTCCTAAAATTGGGTAAGGCAAATATAGATAAAGAAATCCAGAGGTTGGGGCCTAGTGGAGAAAATTACTCAGAAAGCCTGACAAAATTTTGGTCATGGAGAAAGTCTTTGTCAGGCTCTTTTCAATACTCTGACCTCTCAGTTCTAATTTGTTTTCTCTTACAATGGCACTTTCCTCCCAGTATCTTGGACATTAATTTCTATGGTTAAACGTAGTTATTATTAATAATTGTAAATGCAATATCCATTTCAAATATCCTATTGTCTGACCAGTTCCTCTCCTCTGGTTTACTCCCTCTGATACCTAACTCCAACAATTCATCTGCATGAGCAGGACCTATATCCACTGATCCTGGTATTTCATTGTCTTTTCCTATATCTACCAGAGCTCAATATGAAAACAGAAACCATTCTGGGTACTTAAAACAGATGGAATTTAATTCAAGTATTGATTATAAAGTGATGGAGAAGGCAAGCAGGTCACAAATCAATTCAGAGATTACCAACAGCTGGAGGCTATGACCAGATGGAGGCACAAAAGAAAGAAGCTGCCTTACTTTTGTGATTAAAGACATCAGGATCCAGAATCACTCAGTGGAACCTGGTTTCATGAGGGAGTTTCTTTAGTGAGAGTTGGAGCCATATATGTAAACTAGCACTGTCAGAAATGCTGCCAGAGGCTCAGGAAAAGGAGAAATACTCTGCTTTCTTCCTTTATCAGTGACTGGTTGAACCAAGCCATAAGTCAGCTGAAATGGTAGTCTAAGGAACACATCTTCCAACGTTAATTGCCCTGAAGTAAATAGTAGGAAGGATGGAAAAGTCAATGGCTGCATCTGAGGGCAAATGGGCACTGAACCAAAGATTTTACATTTGTGTCACTCAGCACCCATTTTCATGTTTTGACTCATATTTAAACAACTCAATGCATCTGCCTAACATAAAACAATTATATATAACACAAAGGAAGATGCTCTCACTCTCAAATTCAAGAGAGACACAAAATCCATTTGGTCACAGTGTCTACCTCATGTCACTATCTACAGGCAATATATAGTCCTCTCCATTAGGTACAGATATGGTTCTTAATAGTCTGATGACCTGCAACATAAACTACAAAGATTAACACTACCCGCAATCCACAATAAAAATAGTAAGAGAAAAGGAAAGGAAAATAAATCATTAACAATCACGTATCTACATTAGGGTCAAACATTGAAGGCCATAAAAAAAGTCACATAGAACAAAATATGAGATATGATTTACTATTAAGTAGCTTCTAGTATTGTTCTCTCTTCTGACAAATTCCTTTCTTGAAATATAAAAGCTATTTGTGCATCATAAATAATGGTTTAAAAGAAAATTGACATAATGATAGCTTAAAGGAGAACAGCTGTGAGATAGAAAGTATTTGTAACTAAAACCTTTGCAGTATCCACATAGGAAATAATGCATGTCAGAGAATATTCTTCCTAAAACTGAGATTTTAAAGCACTATTTAAACCTGAAAATTTTTTTCTATTAATGTTCAAAGCAGTTTTCAACATGAAAACCTAGAGAAAATAGAAAACCAGAGAAATTATGCCTTAACTAATTAAGAAATATTTTGAGAGTTCAAAATGTCAATGTAGTTTATAACAAGCAGAAACCACTGGAAAAATATGTAAAGAGTAAGAGTCTTGGTGATTGTGCTGATGAGGGCAAAAGAAGGTAAGAAAATGTTGGGAGGAATAATTATCTCAAATAATTAGGTTAAATTTATGAAAATCAAATCCTTCTCTTCATATTGATTTTTGTATGCTGAATTTCACCTTAATATATAACAGACTTTGCTAATTTGTAACTGGTTCTTTTAACTGGTGGCCAGATGCTAGAAGGCAAATTAAATTATTTAAGCAAAGGTCCCTTCTATAAAGTGGCCCCAGTTTAGTAGCTTTTGCTCTTGAATGAAACTTATTTTTTAAGACATGGCAACTCTTACATCATTTGCTTCTTACAGAATAATAAAAGATGTTATATTTACCTTGATTTTTACAATATATTTTATTTTATTCATGTTGATATTTCTTCAAGACCTTACACACACTTTTTCATGGCAACCAATTGAAGTGGATAACAGTTATTCCATGTTTTAAACAACAATAAACAGCTGGTATTCTAAACTCCCAGCATTCAAGCATTATTACAATGGCATACTTCATTCATTTTTCACATATATTGTTTGGAATTAGAAGGCTGTAGGTATTGAGCACCTGCAAAATTGTATACAAAGACAAAGATTGATAAATAATATGGAATTACTGCCCCCAAAGGAATTTGGAGTATATTACAGAAGACTCTCTTATAATCAGATTGTTATAAAATAGAGAAGTGAATAAGAAAAAGAGATGCACATAATGAAGTTTGTGAATATCCAGGTTTATACAGTTGTGCATGTGCAGGGCGGGGACATGAAATGATTCCTGAGGTAGTAACACTCGTCCAGATATTAATCTAGAACATTAAGTCGAAAGTAGATTCATTAAAGAGGAAGATGGGAAGAACATTCCTGGCAGAGGAGACAAAACAAACTAAGAAAATGATGAACTACAAAGTGAATTATAAATAAAATTTTACAATACTAAACAAAATGAGTAAATTATGGTGAATGTAAGCAGTATATGCTGTTTGATCATAACGTGAACAAGGCTGGTTTCATGGGTGTGCAACCTGTGATGGCTTCACGTGTCATGGAAAGGATCTGGTCAGTTAATCTCACACACAGGGGAAGTCAACAAAGGGTTGTATGTAGGGAAAATATATTATGTGATATACACCTTGACAGCAACTGGTAAGATGGTTATGGATAGTTATAGGTAAGATATGTAAGTAGGTGTACACAGTTAAGATATAAAGAACACAAGTTAATGACATGATTATAAACATAAAGATTAGGAAATCAACTCAGGAGTATATAAACAGAAATGTATATGAATTTAACAATCAATCAATGAATTGTAAGATTAAAGAAAGGCAGACTTTATTCTAAGATGCTGGTATAGTGTCAGTAACTACAATAAAGAATATCAGAAGAAGAGAGGTTCAAATATCAAAGATTTCAGACTTGAACATATTATCAATAAAGTGCCTTATGCTATTTCAGGACAAGTTACAGGATTGATTTTCATTAGCTGAAATCAGGAGAACTGTTTAAATTACCCAAATAATTAGAAGATGGCTACATAAAGGATATAATGCTAAGGAAATGAAGATAAAACATAATTAAAGAGAAGCAGATAGAGCAGGAAGTAACAGCTGCCTGTGGTCTCCATGGTTGCAATGGGTCTACAAACAGATAGTAAAAACATGGCAAATCCTTCTGGGGTATTTTTAATAGTTGAATTGAAAAAAAATATCTGTTACATTTGGCAATTATTGACTTTCATATGTTTATATATAGTCATGTGGTGGATATAGAAGCCAGTGGTATTGAAATGACAGTTCAGTTGAATGTGAGGAAGTAGAAATAGCAATAAAAAGTAAAAAAAAAAACTTGAAAGAAAAATAGAAGAATAACATTGAATAATATCTCCAGAGATTGTAGGATCATGGCAATGGCTTTTATTGTTATTTATTTTTTTATAATGGGAAGGCGCTTGAAATTGCTTATGACTTCTGGAGAGAAGGCAATAAACAAAAGGGATAAAAATTATAGAACAGAGGAGATAAAAGTACAGCAGAATTTATAAGAATGATGGAGAAAGGAAAGCAGCAGTTTCAATGGCTGTAATTTTTCTCCAGCTGCTCTTAATTCTCCTTGTATTGGGAAGATGGAAATTAAATAATCATACTCATTCTGGATGAGATATTCACCCAGTGTATTAGTCAAAAAGATAAGCCATCCATCCCTACCACCTGGAGGCAGAGAACCTTTTCATTTCCTTATCATGTTCTTTTTAAAAATTTCAAATATTTTTAATGGACAGATACAATTGTATGTATTGTACTAAGTATGACATGATGTTTTGAAGTATATTTACATTTTGGAATGACTAAATCTAAGTAATTAACATATGCATTTCCTCAAATAGTTATCATTTTTGTGGTGAGAACACTTACATCCATGATGTTTTGAAGTATATATATATTGTGGAATGACTAAATCTAGGTAATTAACATATGCGTTTCCTCACATTGTTACCATTTTTGTGCTGACAACTGGTACACCCATTCTCTTAACATTTTTCAAGAATGCTATATATTGTTAACTATAGTCACCATGTTATACAATAGCTCTCTTGAATTTCTTCCTTCTATGTAACTGAAATTTTGTATCCTTTGACCAATGTCTTTCCAGCCCCTGGAAGTCATCAGTCTACTCTCTACTTCCATGAGACTTCACAAAGGAGTGAGGTTATGCTGTATATGTCTTTCCATTTCTGGCTTATTTCACTTAACATAATGTCCTCCAGGTTCATCCATGTTGTCAAAAATGACAAGACTTTCTTCTTTAGAATATGAACCTTGCTTTGGCAAACACTGCAAGGGCATGTTGTATGTTATTTCCCACTGTACATCTAGCACAAAGACTGACACTTAATAGGTGCTCAAGAAGCATTAGTAAAGAAATGGAAAAGGAAGGAGTAAAGAACATAATTGAAGCACAGTAGTAACACACAACCTGGCACGTGCAGAAGTAATATAGTGTGGCTGGTGACACATCAAGTGTGAGACAGCAGACATGAAAAAAAAAAAACAAGTCACAGAAATTCTTAAAGGTTAGGTCAAGTTCAGGTGCTAGAAACTTTTCTCTATATCAGAATTATTGTATTTTTTATGCTTAGGTTCAGCTCAGCAAAGGATATTTAAGAAAGCGTGTAAATTTTTTGAAGTTCATGTGAAAATATGTATTTCCATGCTCTTAAAAATCACCAGTCTTACGTTGCTCTCTTTCTAATTTTCCATATGGCAGCATATGATTTTGCTTTCAAACCTAATTCTGACACACTTTACAGGCATTCATAAAAAGATCTGCAGAAAGCAGTAGGATTCAAAATCTACTAATACATGAACAACTGTGCGATCCTGGAGTCAAAAATTTCAGAGCAAGTAGGCATCAAATTTTTCTAGACAAATAATTCCTGGAACAGGTTTGTGGGGAAGTAGATGGATAGAAGCAGGTTTATATCAAGCAATAATTGAAAATAATCAGAAACAGCTTAGATGTATCCATCTCTCTTCTTCTTCCTGTACCTCTCCCTCCATATTTCTCTCTCTCTCTCTTTCTCTCTCTCTCTCCTTTCTCTGTCTCTCATGTCCTATATTTCCAAATACATTGACTTCAATGCCGTTTTTAAGCTTGAGTACATATAAATAAATGAACAAAGCTGAATTTTAAAACCTGATGTCACTTGTGGAGGTTAAAGACAATGAAATGCTAAAGATGAAAGAAATTTTGCTACAATATGCCTAATATTGTAGATATCACTCAGGTATTTGGGAATGGCAATATGGGCAGAAATACTGGAAAGTCATTGAGAGCTACTGTCTTAAAATTTCACAAGTGTAACTACAGCAGTTGAACTAATCAATGGTACACAGGTTATTTTTCTCCACTCTTTCTTAATTATGACATGGGACAAAATTGTTATTTCTCCATTATTATTACACAAGAACCAGAACAATAAGATTGTAATTAGAATATAATAAATGCAGAGTTTCTAGTAGAAAATAATTTTGTCTTTAGTAATAAAGGAAAACACAGACTTAAAAATTAAATGGTTTATGTATTTTGAAAACAAATTCATATATTAAATGCTGTTAAACATGCAAATTATTATAATAAATTAGTTTTAAAATTGAACATTATGCTTATATCATTTTAAATATATTTCTATGATTTATTGTAAAGTAATTATCAGATCAAATATGTTTTTGAAACAAGTATTCAAACAGAATGGGGTGCAGTGGTTCCATTTTTATAGAATACTGCTGATTTTCACAATGATATTGGCTTTTGTGTGGCTAAAATATAGCTACAACCACAACAATGAAACTTTATAAATCTGAGTCATATTTTATTATATCAATAAGTCATATTTTATTGCATCAAACAAAAAAATTGATTTCTGTTTGTACTCAGTTAATTAATTTTGCTTTAACTTCTGAACAAATCACATTATGCTCTAGGAAAGCGAAAGAAGAGTACAAAGTTCCCTCAGAGAATACTTCCAAACATGTATTTAAGGAGGAATTTCTCAGATAATAATATTATTCCTCTTTGTGCTGCTTTATATTAAGAACATTTTTCTATCTTGATTTCTTTTCTTAACAGCAGTATTTTAAGGGGAGTAAAAATGATCAGTATCATAGTAATATATTCTAGATATTAACTAAATGCTAAACATTAATATTGAGTTGACTTCCTATTTTTAGAAAACAGATTGGAACTGAAGCATGAAATCTGTTGTGGAAATGAGTTAATCTCATCACTTTTACTTTTTCATAGAAAAGAAACATAAATAAAATAAAATATTTCTAAAAGTTAGTTTTATTAAAATTTCTGATGATATCCATGAATATATAAACTAATTTCTAGTTTATTTGAGCAAGATTATTAAACATATTTTAAAGCATCCATTTTTAATAAAATGTTAAAAAGAACATACAGTCACCCACAATATAAGCATTTTAATAAAAAATGTTTTGATGTCTGAATATATTTTTATAAAATCTATTATAACTCTAAATATTAAATAAATCATTGGTGATGTAACTATATTAATTCATCATTGTATTATGCACCATAAAGTCATAATTTCTAGTTACTTATCTGTAAAAATGTATATGTACTCCTTTATATATGTTTGAATTTAGAGGGCTGTATTTGTATAAAAATATTAACCCAAACATTCATGCATCTCTTACTTGCTTTCCAAATTCTTGGCCTATTTATTTATTTGTTCACATTTTTTATTAGTAATGTGTGGAAGAGTTATTCAAATTTTTGCAACATTTACCAATATCACTGTTTCAGTTTTTCAATTCAGCTTAATCTATAAAATATAATTGTCAACAACTAAGAGTTACAGATTGTGGCTGGTGGCAGGGGAATCTCTAATCATTTATTGTTCACAATTTAATGAGTAATGTTTGAACAATAAATAAGTAAATTTAATGAATACATTAATAATTATGAGAGAATTCTTATATGCTATATAGAAACAAATATACTATTACATAGGAAACATTGCCAGGTACATATATGTGTAATCAGAAATGTTTAACTGGAAACAAATGAGCGTGAGAGTATATGTGTGTAATTGTAACTCTATTTTATTCATAGTTTTAAAATCATCTAGGTTTTATCTGGCACTATTCCTAGTTTTAGTAAAAATGTTCATTCATTTTAGTATCTTTTACTTAGAAAAAATAAATATAAACAAAGTGAAAATTAAATAAAAATATTTCTAAAACCCAGGATTATTAAAATACTAATGGCAACAATAAATATTTTATGTTTAGAAAGAGTAGAGAGGTCAGACCAAGTGAGCATTCACTTACAATTTACACTTGGTTACTGAAGATTTCGTTTGCTTTAATTACTCCATAAATCACTTCTTTTCTGAGTAATGATGCCCTCCTGTGAACAAAAGTTGCATCTTTAATAGCACGAAGCAAGAATAAACTAAAAAAATGAATCCCTGCATAATTATCTTAAAATAATTGCTAATCAAATAAAAAAATCACTATCCAATTGAATGTCAGATATAAATGATTAAAAATGTAAAGACAAAATGTGAGATGAGATAGTATTTTCTAGCAAATAAGCTATAGGGTATTGTAAGGCGTGAAGAAACTGCACTATTTGAGGAATAGAATAGTCTCAAAATGTACCTATTAATTAGATTTCTTGGGTAATTAAATTTTAGCCAAAAGGATGTTATTTCAACTAGTTTTGTTTTCTTTTGTTTTGTTTTTTCACTCTGTTGTCCAGGCTGGAGTGCAGTGGCACGATCTCAGCTCACTGCAACCTCTGCCCTCCAGGTTCAAGCGATTCTCCTGCCTCAGCCTCCCGGGTAGTTGGGATTACAGGTGTCCGCCACCACACCTGGCTAATTTTGTATTTTTAGTGGAAATGGGGTTTCACCATGTTGTTTGCGCTGGTCTTGAACTCATGACCTCAGGTGATCCACCCGCCTCGGCCTCCCAAAGTGCTGGGATTACAGGTGTGAGCCACTGCGCCCGGCCACAACCAGGTTTTAAAATGCACAAGCTTGCACTAGTTTGTATGAGTCCATATATTTACTCAATAGTTTATTTTTTTTAACTGGGGCCTTAGCATTCTATCAATGACTCGAATTCCAGATATTGATATTTTTGGGGTAATATGTGTTTATGTGGATATACTAGGAGTATATGTTAGCTGGATATACCAGGAAATTTTCTCTTTTCTGATAAAATCCATGATAGCAGTGCTTTCTTTACCTGGGTAAAGGCTAAGGTGTATTGGCTCATCTTTCTAGGCAAGTGTCACCTTTCCCTCAGCCTCAAATTTTGGCTCAAGGATACATTTTCTTCTATATTTAACATTTTAAACAAGTATTGGTTATTGAATATCTTAATTACTGAATGTCTGTAAATTTAATCTATCAATTCAAAACTATCTTTTAGGTAGTAAGTATGAATAGTTTATTTAGGAGTACAATAAATTTGACGTAATTTTTCTTTAAATTGACCTAATTTTTGACTGGACTTTTGATTTTACCTGACTGTAAGAAAATACTGCCTTAGTTGTTTGTAGTGCCTTCATTAGGTTTGAAAGCATTATGCTATTTTTCTGTCAACGTTGTACACCTGTAAGTACAAATTGTTATCAAATGTTATTGTTAATAAAGAAAAAGTTAGGTGCACATGCACTGATTTCATTTGGGAATTTTGCCCCGTCTCCCCTCTGCTGCTGAGGACCCACAATGCCTGTGTCTCTCCTGCTTACAGGCTCACAATCACTGCGCTTTTCCCCAGCCATGAAGTTGGGTTCTTCTCTTGCTATTAGGCAAATTCCATCTGGATGTTTCTTTTCAGAGGTCTTCTTCTTTGCTTACAGTTTCCTCAGAGCACTCTGTAAAATTTCCTCAATGAGTTTACACTTCTGGAACTAATGCTGAGAAAGGGATGGTTCTAGGCAAATGCCTTCTTTCCAGTCACAAACCCGTCCAGAAGCAAAGATGCAGAGTAATTGCTGTTAGAATGAGAGAAGAAAAAGGTCAAAAAATGTAGGGAGAATAAAATAGGATATGTGAAATTAGAATTTGTGTGTCAAAAATGGGCATACTATCACCTAAATATGCAAAGGAAATAAAGCTTTTTATTCTGTATAATTTATGTACTTTTTCTCTTAAGTCCCACAACCTGCCCTCACTCTTTATCCTGATGTGGGTTAAGAGGAAAAAAAAAAAAAAAAAAAAACAGTTTAAAGCAGCATGTTTCTTTGCATTAAAAATTTTTTTTCTTCCGTGTAAATGCTCAAATACCAAACCTGTATGATATCTGGTCCTTTCCAAGATGGTGTTTGGATATATCATGGGAACCTCAAATACTTATGATATTCTAGTTGTTGTTGAGTAGCTCCTTTGTTTTTGAGCCTGCATTGGTGACTGGATACTTGTTCTTTCTGACTTTTCAGAGAGAATTTTTGGCACCTGTTTTTGGCATCTGTGGTCTTGGTCATATTTCTCATGTATAAAACCCCAAAATACAAAGGTCTCTTGGTCTTAACCATCACCCTTGAACCTCTCAGCACCTACATGTCCCCTTACTAGAGCACACCGAAATTTCTGAATTCATTGTTATCTATGTTTAGAGTTGGGAGAGTCAGAAGAGCTTCTTCAGGCTTATTTTTCTGGCAACTTCCCAATAACCCAGTGATGCTGTTGCCTACACAATGGGAGAATTGGTTATACAGTGCTTTTTTTTCTAGAGCAGTATTTTTCAACATTGTCTGAACATTAAAAACACTGGGTATTTGTTTAAAAATAGGGATGCCCAGGCCCTAGATTCCATTTTTTTATAACTGAACCTAGAGTTAGGATTAGGGTCAGAAAATTTGAACATTAACATTGACTCTCTGAACGCAGAGATTCAATTTTATTAGTCTATAATGGGGCCTTTGTACAGACAGTCTTGGGCTTGCCAATTTCTATTTCTCTGTGGCTTAGGTTTCTCAATACTGTATGAAACTTCTTTCTGTAGCTTAGCAATAATGGTTTCAGAGATATACCTTCAAAACTATGGGATATTATCTGTGATTCAGTCAACCAGGATTGGTTCCAGATATGTGAATGGAAGCTAATAGAAAATAGATTCTCATATCTATTTTTTGCAAAGCCTGAGTTTTAAGATGATTTCTTTTCGGTATGCTTTTAAGAAAGAAGCAAAACCCAAAATAAAACTTCTCATTGAAATTTAAATCTAGTTTTTTTTGAATTATTATTCCATGTAGCATTTGCCCTCCCTCTTCTCCTTAGGTTCAGAGCCTTATACTAGGTCTTTGATTATCAGCAAACATGATTCATGGGAAAAATAAAAATTCATCAAAGTAATAGACTCCAAATGCAATTGTGGCTACCATGTTTGTTTTCAAATATATCCAATAACAGTCATTTTATGCATTCATATATTCTAGTAGTTAGGACTTCCAGTTCTACCATCAAATAGGTAGTATTCTACCTTAGCCATTCACTAGTTTATTACCTCAGAGTAGCTACTTAATTCCTGTGCCTCAGTTTCTTTATCTTCTGGAGAAAAGCACTCTGCATTTTCTGTGATAGCATTCAAGTACTTTCAGTACATGTGGTTTGCAAGGGAATGGTCTCACTAACAGCTCAAAGAATGAATGACACCACATTATAATGGTTAGTTTGTACCCTTTAGGGCCAGATAATTTCTGATGGAACCCAAATTCTGCAACTTAACAGATGGTTGAAAAAGGTCAAGTGAATTAACCTCTCTGTGTGTACGTTTTCTCATCAATATAATGTAGATAGTAATAGCATATTATGTGTTGCAGTTATTGTAAAGTTATAAGTTAATCTATTCAAAGTTTTTAGAATTATGGAAGTACTGCAAGTGTTCACTGCTCTCATTATGTTTATCATCTTTATTACTACTATGCACACAATTATATTGTTATAAATAGTGCAAATCCTTTAACACATGTCATCTCGATTATTACAGGAACGAGTACCATTCAATTCAGTCAAGGAGAATCAAGCCAAGACTTTACCATGTTCACAGATAAAACATGTATTTATCTTTCCTCTGTATCTAGAGTTAGTTGAGTGTTCAACTGGGCTGAAATAGCTATCCTGTGATTGTGAGGAGTTAGGTACTGACAATTCATGAAAGAAAGGGGATTCAAGGTAGGGACTTGAAACTGTAAATATTGTTTACATGTTTTAAGCCCATGCATTAAACTGCCCTTTAAGACAACCCTCTTCCAGGAAGTTTTGTTTATGTGAGCCCATAAATTTCCTATTTGCTGAAGCAAATATAGATCGGGTTTGCTGTTCTTGTGTGATTAAAGAGTCCTAAGAATTACACAGCCTGTTCATATAGTAGTCTAGTGAAGGTTGAGTGAGATAATCTACACAGTGTTCAGCACAGAATTTGGCACTTAGTTCTAAATACATTTCAGCTATTATTAGTAGCAAAGTTATTGTTTAATGTTAGCAAGAAGTGTCGTGAATACCTAACATATAAGTCAGTTGACATTTTAAATCATAAAAATAAGTCCTTTGCTTGATATTGTTTGTATCCTGAGTCCTTCCTACTTTCACTTTGCTCTTAACCTTTTATACTATTTCAGGAAAATTACTTCACTATGAATACACTTCTTGTGAGCTACACATTTTCAAGTAATTGAAAATATGTTCTTCATGCTCTCCAGAAATAATCTAATCCTTGATTTCTCAATGTAAATTGTTGATTTTATACATTGGCTACAAAAGTATGAGAAACTTATTCTTTCCAAGAATCCTTTCCAAGCACAGTTACTTTGTACATTGACAAGATTTCCTTCAAAAGATAGCACAGCATTTTCTACATAATGATGTTTTGAAATAACATCTATTCTATAATAACATTTTCCACTGGACAGATCTTTTGAATTTTTATTCCATCTTTGAAAACTACATGTGAGAAATAGAATCTTGCTTTATTCTGACTCCTAACACCTATGTGAAAATGTCATAGAATGTAATTCTGTTGGTTTCTGAATAAAGTACTTTAGTTTTAAGCAACATAAATTGACTCTGGCCAAATTATGGAAAACAAAAGGAATTTTTTGACAGGATCCATGGCAACTCCTAGATTTAAAGGAAAAGAAAAACAGTCCTTGTATAGGACAGGAAGTAGAGAAGTTTGTAGAAATGAGAAAGAAATCTGTTGATGTCATTGTAATTGGTGCTTCAGCTCCTTCCATTTTTTTCTCCTTGGGTCAATGATTAAGGTTCAAATTTCTGAGAGACAAGATCAACATGATTTGCAGTGTCAAGGGATAGTTCAAAGATAATTCAGGATGTTTTACCAAAAAAAAAAAAAACCTAATAATGAATAAAATTAAAGCATATAAAAGATGCAGGCTAACTAAAAACAGATACCCACTGTAATTCCTAATCTAAACCCCTTAATTTGATATCCTATGTATTACATATATATATCCTATATAATACATATATATGTGTATATGTATATGTGGGTGTTATATATATATAGCACCCATAAATTTTAAAATATATATATAAGTAAATACATACATGAAAATGAAAACTGAAAAGAAGAGAACAAATCTCCCTACCTCATGAATCTGATCATTTTGTCATGTCTCTTCTTCTGTTATCTATCCATGACCTATTCTCTAGACAAAGTTCAAAGCTTTTTAAAATCTAAACACAGTCCACACTTTCCTAACTGCAGTCTTTTACTCTCCCTTGGCCAAAGGTATTCCTCTCTCTTTACTAAGGCTACTCAGGAGACTGAGGTGGAAGGATGGCTTAAGCCTGGAGGTGGAGGCTGCAGTGAGCTGTGATTATGCCATTGCACTCCAGCCTGGGCAATAGAGTGACATCCTGTCCTGAAAAACAATGTACAAAGTACATCATTCTACTATAAGTTCTTTATAGAAATCTCCATACTCCTTCCCAAAGAGGTTGCACTAATTTGCCTTCTCACCAACAGTGTATGACCAATCCCTTTTCTCCACATCCTTGCCAATAGCTGTTGTTTTTTGACTTTTTAATAATAGTCATTCTGGCTGGTATGAGATGGTATCTCATTGTGGTTTTAATTTGCATGTACCTGATGACTAGTGATGTTGGACTTTTTTTTTTCATTGAATCCAGCAATCTCACTACTGGATATCTACCCAAAGGAAAATGAATTATCATATAAAAAATATCCATGCTTGTATATTTATTGCAGCACTATTCACAATAGAAAAAATATGGAATCGACTCAATCAACAGACTATTTATGCATACACATATACAAAATTGAATACTACTCAGTCATAAAAATAATGAAATCATGTCTTTTGAGGCAATGTGGATGGAACTTGTCATTATCTTAAGTGAGATAAGTCAGAAACAGAATGTCAAATACTGCATATTCTCACTTATAAGTGAGAGCTAAACAATGTGTACACACGAACATAGAGAGTGAAGACTCAGACTAGTGGGAGGGTGTGAGGGGGGTAAGGGATGAGAAATTACATAATGTATGCAATGTGCATTACTTTGGTGATGCTTGCACTGAAAGCCCAAACTTTACCACTATGTAATATATCCATGTAACCAAACTTTACTTGTGCCCAATAAACCTATAAAAGTAAAAAATACAAAACATACATTGTTTGATGGGCCTGAAGCTTACAATTGAGGGGCATAATCAAAGGGTGAACTTATTGATTACCAAAGAAGATTTAATTCAGTTCAATACAATAAATATTTATTTTGAAAGTTGTGGAAAGTATTATAAACAAAATTAAAACATTGTTGGAGAAAATTTCCTGTTAAAATGTTTACTACCTAATTAAGGAGAGAATACAGAGAATAAGCTCAGCTGTATGTGAACAGGATTGACGTAAGTAATACAGAAGATTATTCCTTTAAAACTTCAAAGATAGAGCAATTGAGCTCAGACAAGAAGAGATGTCTTCAAAAGGGCACCAGCCCAGGCCAAGATATATTTTCAGCCATTGTAGTTTTCCTTGACACAGATATTTATCAAAGATAATAAATAGTATCCCAGAAAAAAAAAAAGTTTGAGCAGAAGTTTGGAGTTAAAAGCGAACCTAGGATATTCAGTGAAAAATGAAACCCCTGACCAACTGAGACAGATTGTTAGAATCTCACCAACATATTTAATTTCTTGACATCTTTGCTTTGTTCTTGCTTTCTTCTGAAACCAAAAAAAAGAAAAAATATTTTACTGACATCATTGGTTAATATATACTTATCTTTCAAAGCTCAATTTCTACTATTTCTTTTGTTAGAAACCTACAGATTCAACCATTTGTTAGAAACCTACAGATTTCTAACAGATTTCTAGCAGATTTCTTTTGTTAGAAACCTACAGATACAACCAACATTATCTGTGTTCACAAAGCACTTTATGCATAAATGTTCATAGTATCTACGACATTGCATTTTTGTCAGCTGTTTATCTGTTAGACTTCACCTGCTGCTTTTTTTAGTTTTTAGAATTCAATAATAATGTTTTAGTTCTCTTTGTTCTCCTAACATGTAACATTTACCTGCCATATAGCAGGAGTGAAAGTTGAATGATCGTAAACATAGAATTGCTGTAACGGGGAATTATAGTGTTGTAGACAAAGCAGGGGAGCAAAGTTGTGTCACATTTGGGGAATTTTTGCTTAACGACCCAAGAAGAATGAATAAATGGAAATTTAAGTTGCATACTGGTTTTTTACTTGGAATGTTTCTTTGGACATTTTGTAATAAACTCTAAATCAACAGAGAAAATGGGAAAATTTTGGGTACCTAAAAAATTCTGAGCTTTTTTCCAAAGATTATTATGTTATATTATATTACATTATATTATACATATACACATATATACAGTATATATAAAAAATAGTGTAACCCTATAGCAATGTTATACAAAATTATATTCTTCTTCCTTTAACAGATAACTTTAACATCAAAACACTGAAATGATAATACCTTTTAGTTAACTTTATCATAGTGAAACTGTATTTTATTGACTATTGTTATTTTTTATTGAATATAAAATATTTTTACTAAAACATAAAAAAGGTTTTAATTTGTTCCATATTCCAGAAAATTGTGCTTTGTGAGGTTTATCTAACCCAGATATAATTTTCATGACATTTGCACATTTCTGCATGGCATTTCACTTTTCCTTCAAGACAGGAATTTAATTTCTAAAAGTATTTAATTTTCAGGAAGAATTTACTAAATAGTTGTGCTTATACTTTAATTGTGTTAATATTTTTCATGTTTTACTTTTTGAAATACTGAAACATTTGTTCAATTTAGAAGTTAAGAAAAAAATACACAAAAATAAAGAATAGATATTTCGGTGTCAGAGCAAGGGAATATTGCTGTTCATTATCTTGGAATCAATATACTGAACTCAGTTTTCCAGCAAATAGAGGCAGACATTTGTGATAGCTTAGTTTTCTCATATTTGAATGATAAATAGTGCATGAAATAGCTCCATAATTTAGCGACTGTATTTATAGAGTTATTCCTGGCAGCTAATGGTGCCTTTCATTTGATGAAACCATGTAAAGGAAGATAATACAAAGAAGAATTTTTTTAGCAGTTAACAAATGTCCACTCTTCCAAGTTTATATCATGCATTGATCAGAAGGTCCAAATCTGTCTAATCCCAAGAGCATGATTACTGATATGAAACTGATATGGTTTCCCATATCAGTCCAAAGCTCCCTACAATCATTTCCCTTTCTCTGTATTGCTTGAGTTAGTTTTTCAGAACTGCATTTGATATTTTCCTTCCTCTAATAATCCTTACCCTTTAAGTAACAGGTATGAGCAAAGACATTGACCTTCAATGTCTTTTTCTTTTTCTAAGATTAAGATTAGCTAGGCTCTGTGTTATGTGATCAGTCTTTGCTTCCTTCAGGGCTACTCTTTGTTCCAGCTAATCTAGCCTCCTTTTTTTTTTTCTTTTACCTACTGAGATATTCATTCATTAATTCATTTAATGAAAGTTTTTGCCTATGTTCTGCCTCTATTTTATCTCTTGTCATGATTTTAACTTCACTCATCTAAGAGAGGTAATTAGCGTTAATGAGATCACAAGGATGGAGCCCTAATCCTCTAATTACCTTTTTCACATATGTGATCAGTTTTTGTTTTTCTGGTTCAATTGTAAACTTTATGAAGTAATACATGACATTCCCTTTTTGCTTGCCAATTTTGTATTCTCTATGCTAAACCCAATACTCAATTCATAGGAAAATACAAGAGTAATGAAGGAAGGAATGAATGTTTTGGTGGTCTGCATGCTAAGTTTACTGATTATGAGAGAAGGCTTTCTAATCTAGTCACAGAAATCATGCATCACTCCATATCTCTTTTTCCATCTCCTGTTGAAACTTCTCTAAAGACAGGCTTGTCAGTCTTTGGGTGGAAGAATAGTTGCAACAAATTCCCCTTCCTAATTACGTACTAGGGGAACGATAGCATTATTTAATTGCAATGAATATACTGGATAATCAGTTAGGCACCATCAGGAATATTGTAGATGAATATGGTAATGGAGGTGGAGGTGGAGTCATGGCAGACCAAAAGTTCAAGACCTTAATATACATGTACTTAACTCTGGTCACCTTATCACCACAATGCCCTCAAATTTAAGCTGTAGAATCAGCTCAATGAATGTTTTAGGGCATGTGAATTTTTCCTTCTGTATTATAAGGAAGATTGATAAAGTCTTCCACCCATAGTAAGCAGTCCTTGATGCCCAAAAGAAATAGTCGGCCAGTACTACTAATTTATTCCTTGCCAGTTTGAAGACTAAATTGATTTCCTTTATATTATATATTGTTTGAGATTGTAAGTGTACCAAAAATTTTTTTCACAGAAATGATTAGGGTATATGAAATTTGGTCCTATTATCATTTTTAAAAAAAGAAAATGAGTGAGGCTTTTTAGTTGGTCCTCCAAAATACAAAACTTCAGGATCAAGGTAGAAAGTGCATTTAGTCTTCAATTTTTAAAAGTTCAAAACAACTACATCAGGCACTGTACATATAATGAAAAGAGAAAACAAATATGGATCTTATAATCTAGTGGGAGAGACAAACAATAACCAAAGAATTACACAAATAAAAATAAAATTGTAATTGTGGTCATTTTCTTGAAGGGAAGATGGATAAGAAGCTCTATGAGTTCATAATATTTTTCTGTCCTCCTGTTCTGATCTTCTTCTGGGTTGTGAGAGATAATTGAAATGATGCATGTGAAATAACTTTTTAATTACATCAAACTGTGTAAATATATGACATTCATACTAATAAGTATTTCCCTTTGTCAATCAAACTTTCTTTAATTATGTAACTCCTTCTGGGTTTAATTTTTCATTTAATTCTTATGGCCTTTCGGTCTTTATGCATTTAATTTGTATGTATTATGACTATGACATCAGAATCCTCAAACCAGTGTTCTCAGTTTTGTGGAAAAAGTGAAAATGATGATGGAATCACACACTTTTCTGGCTCTCTGAATTATGAATATATTATCATTTTTCTTAAAATTATAACTGATGTCTTTACAGGGTGTAATGAAGCTATGAGATAATTTAGGAGGACATAACATAAAAACACAGTCCTTACTAGGTCTGTTATAAATTATATTAGTCTGCTGCAGCTGCTGTAACAAAATACTACAGACCGGTTTGGATTAAACAACAGAAATGTATTTTCTCTCAGT
Source organism: Homo sapiens (assembly GCF_000001405.40). Lineage (NCBI taxonomy): Eukaryota > Metazoa > Chordata > Mammalia > Primates > Hominidae > Homo > Homo sapiens. The sequence continues at coordinate 14,691 of NW_015148967.1, read as the reverse complement.
TCTAGAAGTTGGAAGTCCCCAAGATTAAGATGCTGGCGGGGTTGGTTTCTGAAACCTCTTTCTGGCTTGTACATACGCAGATATCCAATTTCTGACTGTGTCTTCACGTAGCTTTTCCTCTGGGCAAGAGATCATTGGTATCTCTTTCTTTTTTTAAAGGACACCAGTTCTACTGGATTAAGTTCCCATTCTTATGATCTCATTAACCATAATTATCTCCTTAAAGGCCTTATGTCTGAAAACAGTCACATTGGGAGTTAGGCCATAACAAATAAACTTTGAGGGAATATGATTCAGTTCAAAATATAAATCTTGCATTATTTTAAAAAACTCATTTACACTACTAATAACAACATTCGTGAGATATTTATATTAACCCTATTCCAAATAAATCCTAATTTTAAAATTGTCTATGACTAGGTCTGGGCGCGGTGGCTCACTCCTGTAATCCCAGCACTTTAGGAGGCCGAGGCGGGAGGATCACGAGGTCAGGAGATTGAGACCATCCTGGCTAACATGGTGAAACCCTGTCTCTATTAAAAATACAAAAAATTAGCCGGGCGTAGTGGCGGGCGCCTGTAGTCCCAGCTACTTGGGAGGCTGAGGCAGGAGAATGGCGTGAACCCGGGAGGCGGAGCTTGCAGTGAGCCGAGATCCCGCCACTGCACTCCAGCCTGGGCGACAGAGCGAGACTCCGTCTCAAAAAAAAAAAAAAAAAAAAAAAAAAAATACAAAAAACATTTAGCCAGGCGTGGTGGCGGATGGCTGTAGTCCCAGCTACTCAGAAGGCTGAGGCAGGAGAATGGTGTGAACCCGGGAAGCGGAGCTTGCAGTAAGCCGAGATCACGCCACTGCACTCCAGCCTGGGCAACAGAACGAGACGCCATCTCAAAAAATAAATAAATAAATAAAAAGTCTATGAATAAACTTTAATAAAAGTGTGGAGTTTTTTTCAAAATTAAGTTAGGTAAAATAGAAAAAACAATTCTGTTTTTAATTTTTGTATAAAAACACTTTAAGAGTGCTAGACACTAAGCAAACAATTCTATACAAACCTACACAACTTTAGGTTAAGGCATCCACAACTATGGAAATTATCCAGCTTTAAAAATAATTTTTGAATAATTTGTGTCAAATTCTAGATTTGTTATCTATAGGAAGTAAGAAATTTATGATGGAAAATGCTGAATATTGAGATTATTGTCTAAAATGGTATCACTGAATGGAATTTCTATGAGGACAGGGATGTTGTCATTTTTTTTTTCTGGCCACCGTAAGTGTCTAGAAAAGTGCCTTGTCCAAAATAAGTATTATAAAAATGTTTCTCAGTGAATAAATTTTAATATCATTTACTCAAATTAGCTTCATTTCTTATAGCACTTCACAATTCACCTGAATCTTAACTATATTACCATAATGTAGTTAAAAAGAGATGTGGTTTTAAGAATCTACACAGTTTTTGGTAGAATCTTCTATACTATCATTTTCTTTTGTTCTAAGTCAAGAGTGCTGAGTTCTCTCAATACTTATATCTACAATTTATACGAGTCAGAATGGCTATTACGAAAGTCAAAAAAAAAAGTTGTTGATGAGGATGAGGAGAAAAAAGAATGATTACAGACTGTTAGTGGGAATGTAAATTATTATAACCTCTAGGGAAAAGAGTATGAAGAGTTCTCAAAGAACTAAAAATGGAACTACCATTTGATCCAGCAATCCCACTACTGGGAATCTAACCAGTGTAAAATCAATTATTATATATAAAAAAAATCTTGTGCTTGTATGTTTATTGCAGCACTATTATATGGCATAGAGCTAAGTGTCTATTAACAGATGATAAGAAAAAGGAAATGTGACATACATACACACACACACACACACACACACAATACTCAGCCATAAAAAGGAATGAAATCGTGTCTTTTGCGGCAACATGAATGGAATTGGAGGCCATTACCTTAAGTGTAATAATTCAGAAACAGAAAGTCAAATAGCGCATATTCTCACTTATCAGTGGAAACTAAACAATGTATGGATATGTATGTAGAGTGTGGAATAACAGACATTGGAGACTCAGAAGGGTAGGAGAGTGAGAGGGGAGTGAGGGATGAGAAATTATGTAATGGGTACAGTGTGCATTATTTGGGTGATGTTTACACTAAAAGCCCATGTATTAGTTCTTTCTCACACTGCTATAATGAACTATCTGAGACTGGGTAATTTATGGAGAAACACCTTTTAACTGATTCGTAGAACTGTAGGCTGTACACGAAGCATGGCTGAGAGGCTCAGGAAACTTAACAATCATGGCAGAAGGCAAAGGGAATCCATGCACATCTTACGATGGTGGAGCAGGAGAAAGAGAGCAAAGGGGAAGTGCTACTCACTTTTAAACAATCAGATATCATGAGAACTCACTCACTATCATGAGAACAGCAAGGGAGAAATCTGCCCCCATGATCCAATCACCTCCCACCCGCCCCTCCTCTAACACTGAAGATCACAATTCAACAGGAGATTTGCATGGGAACGCAAAGGCAAACCATCTCAGCCCAGACTTCACTGCTATGCAATATATAACAAACATGGGATTTATATTACTTATGTAATAAAACCACACTTGTACCGCTTAAATTTATACAAATAAAAAAATTTCTAATGTTGACCAAAGATCTAAGATTCATGGCTTTTGAGTTAGAGAATTTAAATTATATAATTAATGCAGCCTAAATTCAACTTCAAAGTTAAGGTTAAAGTCTTAAACAACAAAAATTTAAAAAAATGTGATTATAAACGTTCTTTCAAGTTTTGAGGTTGAATATAAGTCTATAATTAAAAAATAAATGGGGAATTGGCAATTATATTATTTCATTTTATAGGAAAGCTGTATTGCATTAATTTTGGCCAACCTTCAAAAGTAGATATTACTATTTATTACAAGTGTATCTTTTTATTTTTATAATATTATTATTTTTTATTTTTATTTTTGAGACAAAGTCTCACACTGTCACCCAGGCTGGAGTACAGTGGCGCAATCTCTGCTCACAGCAAGCTCCACCTCCTGGGTTCACGCCATTCTCCTGCCTCAGCCTCCTGAGTAGCTGGGACTACAGGCGCCCGCCACCACGCCCGGCTAATTTTTTGTATTTTTAGTAGAGATGAGGTTTCACCGCGTTAGCCAGGATGGTCTCCATCTCCTGACCTCGTGATCCGCCCGCCTTGGCCTCCCAAAGTGATGGGATTACAGGAGTAAGCCACCGCTCCCGGCCTTTTATTATTATTATTATTATTATTATTTTGAGACAAGTTCTTGCTCTGGTGCCCAGGCTGTAGTGCAGTGTCGCCATCATGGCTCACTGCAGCCTCAAACTTCTGGGCTCAGGCAACCCTCTCACCTCCACTTCCCCAGTATCTGGGACTACAGGCGTACACTACCATGCCTGGCTAATTTTTTTTTCAATTATTTTTTGTAGAGATGGGGTCTCGCTATGCTGCTCAGGCTGGTCTCAAACTCCTGGGCTCAAGTGATCCTCCCACGTTGGCCTCCCAAAATGCTTGGTTTACAGATGTAAGCCACTATGCCCTTCCTTGATGATTTCTATTGACAGATAATAAATAGTTTTCACAAAATTCTCGAGAAAAACCTGGGCCATACCTCAATTGTTTATAATTTTTTACTCTGCCTTTTAACAATTTATATTTTGTCTTTTATATGGGGTAATTAGAATGAGAATGATGTAAGGGAAGAGTCCTAAGTTTAGAATTGAACACATCTACATCTACATTGTAATTCCTGACAGCTAAGCTGCTTACCAGCTGTGCGTTTTCTGGCAATTTATATATCCTTTGTTTTCCCTTCAAGAAAAATAACAGTTGTTTTTTTTTTTTTAGTGAAATTGTATGTATAATATGTATATATTTATATTATATAATTTAAAATACCAGGCACAATAAAATGGCTCTCATTATATTCTTTTAGTAGAGGTTTTGTTTGTTTTGTTTTGTTTTGCAGTAGTTTTGTTTTGTTTTATATGGAACCGGTTATTTAAACATTTAAGTATTTGTCTTTGTATTATATTAAAAGTGATTTAGAATTTCTTGACAGGAAAACTAGAGTAACTAATGTAAGTCTCTGTAAGTAATAGAATTCACTGCATTCTATGCAGGGGAATTTGAAAAGTTTTGAAAACATAAAAATCAATGTTACATGTTGGTAGAAAAGCTACGTCCTAGAGATACTGTTCTTAATATTGGTATATGTGCAATTTCAAAACAGGGATGAGTCAAATCACATAAGGCTATGACTTTTTCCTTATGTGTCATTTGCAAGCTTAGCAGTGGTGAGGATGTTGGAGATAAATGTAAGAAACTAGGCCATCTTTGCTCATTTTGAATATAGTGGATGCCTCTTTCCTTATACGATTGTTAAATTAACCCTTTTCAGGTTGCCAGGTCTACTGTTTTAAATTATGTACAGATAGATTTTTGTAAGAAAGGAAAAAAATTCTCAAAGAAGTGTGTACTTGTGTGTCTTTTGTAGAATGCATCTAAACAAGTTGTCTAAAATTATACATCTTCTCTTTATTTACGCAGCTTATTCTCCCTTTTTTGTTATCTCAGTTTTCTTTCTCTCTCCCTGCTCCACACACTTGAATGAAGATTGAAAACTACAAATTCTTTTCAGTATTAGGACCTCTGAAGTTGATCCTGATGTTCTAAATACATTATCCTTATCTTTCGTCTTGCTTACGAGAGTATTATCCTCATTTTTATATGATAGAAAGCTGCTTTGAAAGGAAAAGGCCTTGATGCAGGCCAAGCAATTTGTAAGCTATGGAGGTGAGATATGAATCATAGTTCATCTATATCTCTAGGCTGTATTTATCTCCTTACTTCTAGAGAAAAAGGAATAAGGAAATAAATGTTAATTCAATGATTTTAAAATATATTTATTATCATTATAAAGACTGAGCAGTATTATTCAAAATTCAAAGTTTTGAGTTCTGTATAGGTAGTTTGCGTATATATAGGAGATGGACATCCCTGCACAGCTACTTTTTCCTAAGTTTATCAATGTTTCTTTTAAGATTTAAGGTAATCCTTCTATTCCAAATATGCAGAAAGCATTTGAACACATACTTCAAAGAATTTCTGGAGACAGCCAGGAGTAGCCAATCAACTTAAATCCTTGTATGTCCTCCTGGGCTGAAATGCATGTTTCCTTCACTATATATTTCAGTTCTCCTGTTCCTCTATCTCAGCTCTCTAGTTTTCCAAAACTAACACCCTTGAATAAGAGAAACTCTGTGCCAAAGACTACTTGGTACATTTCCAACCACAAGATTCAGAGGGTCTGGCTGCCTCTAATTTAGTATTGCCAACATACCCATCGGTGACTCAAGCCAAACAGAGACCACGCCAGGACACTTTTTAATTTGCCAAAGCAACTTGTGAAAGAGGTAAACCAGTCCAATTCTGATAAATTATCTGCAAACAAATTAGATATTCTTACAGCAAGGAAGTGTCAATACTGTAACCAAGCAGAGGTGACAGAATTCATAACATGTTTCAACAGAATATATCAGAAAAATTATTTTGTAACCATGGTAAATATATTAAATCATTCTTCCAGCATTTTGTTAAGCTTGTATTTGGATTTAATAGCCATTCCACAATGAATATATACTTCAAAACATCATGTTGTGAAATATAAATACCTAAAATTTTATCTGTTGATTTAAAAAATACATTAAAAAAATTTAAAAGAATGGGCTATATCACTAAATATAACACACTGTTGTGATTTGGCAATTTGCCATTGAATTTTTTATATTAGTCTTGCCAAATTAGATAAGTTAAGCCTCTAAATTTATTTCACGAAGAAGTGGGTAAGTCCTAGATAGCTACTAGGTACAATTTTATTTGGCTATATTTTTAAATTAGTCAAATAGATGATTTTTAAATATACTTTTATGTTGCATTGATAATAGCCAGTCAAAAAAATTGAATCATTTAATAATTTATGTTTGTAGGTGCATTTTAGCAATCATCCTTTAAAAATTCTGATATTTATATGTCTCATTTGATTTGAATGTATTCAAAGTGTGAGAAGGAAGTAATCTAACGTGTACAAAACACTATACTAGATCGTTTCATACATTTTAGCCAATTATTACTCACAATAATTTTGCAAAACATTATGCATATTTTATAGATAGTAAAACTGAGGATTTTTAACATACAAGGTCATAAATCAGAAGGTAAGTATAATTCTATTTAGTACAGTAATTTGAATTCTCCACCAGCCCATACAAGACTTTGAGAAAGACATTGCTCTAAATGATCACTTAGAAAGTAGGGTATTCATCCTCTCAAAAGGCTGTTTAGTTATATTTGAGTAAGTTTTATTTCCCCTGTTAAGTTATAAAAAAGTTGAAGGGTAACATGATATCTTAAATTTATTCTTCATATCAACTTACAATTAACCTCATACATGGAAACATTTATACAAATTTAAGCCAAAAAGAAAAAAAAAACTGTTATAAGTGTTCTAATTCATCTTTAAGTTTTAGTAACATTAAATTAATATAATGTTTTATAAATACTCAAATGCAATATATTCAAAACTATTTTTTATCATTCCCATTTCTGCTCTCTGAAACAGACTCTTTTTCAAAGTGTCCTACCATGGCAAGTATTTCCATTATCAATGGTCCCTGAGCTAAAACACATTTAATCTTATATTGGCTTGTTTTAGCCAATTCCCACATCTACTCAATCATCAGGCTCTATAGATTTTATTCTATTATTAGTCCCAAATTCTCACTCTCACCACTTTAGTTCAGGTATTTATAAAATAAACAGAAACGTCATTGATTTTATATGCAAATTTCTGAAATTTTAAAAGTCATAAGTTATTCGTTCAGTCAAATTTTTATGTATTATTCTCGAATTGTTTTGCAAACAAATCTATTGTGCAATATAAAGGAAAAAAATAAAATCCTATGATTGATAATGACTCAAGTAATTACAAATATATTATATATATATATTTCAGGGTAAAAAAGAAGAAAATCAAAACTTTAAAAGTTTAGAAAAATAGAAATAAGTGAAGATTCAGAAATAGTAAATTATTTGGTCTAGCAAATGATAAGTTTGTGCATTTGAGCACCATTATCCTTTTTCTTTCAAAGGTTACTATCCATGTGGTAAATAAATAGCAGTGCTTCTGTGAGACCTTTTTTTTAACCCCCTTCAAAAATGTTAAGTTCCCCTTCCTCCTACCTGTAGCACTTTCACATACCATTTTGATAGCATTTATAAAAACTTTAGTTTATTTATTTGCTCATATGTCTGACATCTGCATGAGACCTTCACCTCCTGGCAAGCCAGGACAATGCCTTTGTGCATCTGTGTTTGTACTGGATACTCAGCAAGCATAATTTTTAAATAATTAAATAAGTATATATGTATTTATTTATAAATATTTTAATTATATATTAGATCATACATCATATATGCATTGCTTGTATAATACATAGCATTGTTATCTATGTTAAATATATATATATGAATTTAAAAATGGATGGATGTGCTTATGTTCATCCACATGGCTTTATCTTAAGTTTTAGAGTTTTATACTATGTTCAGTAGGATGGTAAATACTTTGTAAACATGTCCAAGTTAAAGACACAGAGAAGTGACTCACCAGTTTGCTAATTCACAGGAGACTGAGAGATTGTGTCTGTGCCTGTGTGCAAAGCATTTTAAACAATCAGTTGCAATGTCTATTTCATGGCTCTTTTTACTAAATAGAAAAATCCATTTACTAAAGGCCTGTTGCTTTTTATTATGCAATGTATATGTTTTTAAAAGACAAAGCTTTGGTATGTTTACAAAAGTTAGCCACTAAACAATTATTTCTGCTTAATAATACTTGACCTACGGATAATCTATTACATTGATTCTTTTCTCTCAGATAGTTCTCTTTTAAATTTGCAAGAATTGGTTGCCTTTGTGTGTTACTTTATCATGTAATGAAGTACTCATGAGACCTCATTATAGAACCAACTCTATTTTCAATCATTAAATTAGTGCTCTTATTAAGATGAAGTATGAAACTGCTTGAATTGCTGCTTTCTTCAAAATGCTTTTTAAAATATTTAAAATCCTTTTGAATGGTAAATTAAAATCTTTTATAGTAATAAAGAATCATATTAACAGGTTAAGGAAAGCTAATTGGAATTAAATTGATAAATGTGGTGAATTATTTTATATACAAACTGCACTGATGCAAACATGATTTCTTTTCTACAGGAGAAAAATATGAGAATAGAATAATTATAGTCATTTGAGAATGCAGTCAAGCCCAACAGTGAGACAGATAACTTTTCAAAGAAATATATCGAATATACCCGTATGAACTGATTTCCTTTCATCTATGTTTAGGTGCATGGCTAACAGAAAAGAAAGAAAGAAAGAGAGAGAGAGAGAGAGAGAGAGAGGAGAGAGAGAGAGAGACAGACAGAAAGAGAGAGAGAGAGAGGGGAGAGAGAGAGACAGAAAGAAAGAAAGAAAGAAAGAAAGAAAGAAAGAAAGAAAGAAAGAAAGAAAGAAAGAGCAAGCCTTAGAAGTTACTTTTTAAGGCTAGCTGGGTGTGGTGGCTCACACCTGTAATCCCAGCACTTTAGGAGGCCAGGTGGACAGATCACTCGAGGTCAGAAGTTCAAGACCAGCCTGGCCAACATAGTGAAATCCGATGTTTACTAAAAATACAAAAATTAGCAGAGCAGGATGGTGCACAGCTGTAGTCCCAGCTGCTTAGGAGGCTGAGATGAGAGGATTGCTTGAACCCAAAAGACAGAGGTCGCAGTAAGCCCAGGTCATGCCAGTGTATTCCAGCCTGGGTGACAAAGTGAGACTCCCACTCAAAAAAAAAAAAAAAAAAAAAAAAAAGAAGTTACTTTAAAAAAATGTGAACCTGTTAAACTGACATGTTTTAGTTAAATAAAATTAATGTAAAATAATCTATACTTAAGTATTTTACATAAACTTATACAATGTGGAAGCTTTACATAATATACATTATATGTAATTACAAAGAAGAGTTTAAAAAATCCTTTCCATGAAAGAGCTCAAAATTAAAAGTGTACAAATATATACACACACATGCACACACACATACATATATCACTTGTCTTATAAATAGTTAAGAGATATGAATATAAATTATTAGATTTATTATACAGTAGAATTATATGCCTTGTGGTAGCTATAAATATCAAATTTTCTATTTCCTTCCTACTCAGCAGTAGGAAAATAGTAAGATAGGAAAATATTAATTCCTCAGTAGGAAAATATTAAGAAGTTTTTGGTTTGTTTGTTTGTGTTGGTTGCCTTCTATATTAGTTTGCTAGGGTTGCCATAACAAAGTATCCCAGACCAGTGGCTTTAAAAGTATAAATTTATTTTCTCACATTTTTGAGGGTTGTAAGTTCAAGATCAAGGTGTCAACAGGGTAGGTTCTTTCTGAGGGCCAAAAGGGGAGGCTTTTTCCCTGGCTTACAGGTGGCTATCTTCTCCCTGTGTTTTCATATCCTCTTCCCTCTGTAGATGTTGGTATGTCTACATTTACTCTTCTAATAAGGACACCAGTCATAGTGGACTAGGTCCTACTTTAATGAGCTCATTTTAAGACATCAGTCATGTTGGATTAAGACCTACCCCAAGTAACTCATTTTAACTTAATTATATCTGTAAAGTGACCATCAAATATAGTCACATTCTGTGGTACTAGGGATTAAGCCTGCAATATATGAATTGGAAGGGGGAAATAATTCAGCCCAGCCCACAGCATGTCATGCTCTGCCCCCCACAAATGTATGCCTTTCTCACATGCAAAATACATTCACCCCATCCCAGCAGCCCCTAGTCTTAACTCATTCCAGAATCAACTCTAAGTCACAAATCTCATTTAAATGCCATTTGATCCACGTGTGGGTGAGACTCCAGGTATGATTCATCCTGAGGCAAAATTACTCTCCAGCTGTGAACTTGTGAAACCAGACAAGTTGTCTTCTTTGAAAATACAATGGTGGGATAGGAATTGGATATACGTTTCAATTTCAAAAGGAAGAAAACAGAAATAAAGAGGTTATGCATTCCAAGCAAGTCCAAAAGCTAGTAGGGAAAATTCTATCAGATTTTAAATCTTAAAAATTATCCTCTTTGACTGCTCTGGAGCCAAATCTTAAGTCCTCTGGACCATCATGGTAGCAGTCCTATTCTTTGGGCCCCCTCAGGGTGGCAGCCTCATCTCCTCAGCCTTAGGTGGCAATGGCCTGTTCCTTTGAAACTTTAGAGGAGGCCTTGCCATTTAGAACCAAGGAGGAGACAAACCTACTCGCGGGCCTGTTGTAGTGGCAGAAATGCCAACTTCTGCACTGCCTGCAAGGTCATTCAATCTTTTTATTAAGGGATAATGCACATTCACAGCCAATTAATCTGCTTTTCCCTCCTGTAGAATTTTGTTCCATCCGTTTATTTTGTTTCATCTTTATTTTCTTCAGTACAAGCTGGGTGTGTTTCAGCATGTATCGAATTCTCAAAAAACTTTTCTGGCCTACCATGCAATTCACAGACGTCCAAGCCATCAAACATGAGGACAGTCCAGGAGGATCCTTCACAGATCTTTCCTGGATAACCACATCTTCAATCCCAGCTTCTGGTGAGATGGTTGAATAGACCCATGAGCCATACATACAATCTCTTTAGCAAATGGTCATTCAGCCACAACCTTGATGTTTCCTCCAGAACAGGTTTTCTGATTTTTTGCAGTATGGATATGCTGAGGATTTTCCATATCTTCAGATACTGCTTCCTTTTTGTTTAGCAATTCTTTCTTCCACTTATCTCTCTCCTTTAGTATTTTGCCATAAGCAACAAGGAGAAGGAATACTATCAATACTTTTTATAAAAAATACAAATCTTATCAGCTAAATATCCAAATTTATAAAAGTTCTATTTTCCACAAAACACTAGAACACAATTTGGCTAAACTTTGCATTACTGTATAACAAAGGTCGTTTTTCCTCCAGTTTCAGTAATGTTTCTCTTTTCCCTCTAATACCTTACCAAAGCATCTTTAACATTCTACCAATATTCATACACACACACATACACACACACACACACACACACACACACACACACACATATATATTTATGTACTTTTTTTTACATAAACAAGTTGGTCTCAAACTCCTGGCTTCAAGTAATCCTCCCACCTTGGCCTCCCAAAGTCTGGGATTACAGGCATCAACCACCATGCCCATCCTTACTTACATTCTGTACACAATGACATATATATTTTTTAAGAGGATAGAGACTTTTTCTACAGCTATCTTTTTTTTTCTGAGTCCTTACCAGAGATTCCTTCAATGACCATATTTCTACCATCAATCTTTCCAAGGAAATCTAGACTCTTTGTAACATACATTTTACAACTCTTCCAGCCTCTACATAAAACCCAATTCCAAAGCCACTTTCATATTTTTCAATGTGTGTTATAGTAGCACCCCACTTCTCAGTACCAAAATCTGTATTAGTTTGGCTAGGGTTGCTTTGACAAAGTGCCTCAGAATGAGTGGCTTAAACATCAGAAATTTGTGTACAATTCTGTAGGCTAGGAGTCTGAGATCATGGTGGTGACAGGGATGGTTTATTCAGAGGCCCATGAGGAAAGGATATGTTCCAGGCCTCTTTCCTTAGCTTGAATATGGCTGTCTTATCTCCATGTCTTCATATCATCTCTCTATAGATCTGTACCTGAATTACCTCTTCTTATAAGGACACCAGTCATATTGAATTAGGACTCACCCTAATGACCTCATTTTAACTTAATGATCTCTGTAAAGACCCTATCTCCAAATACAATTACATTCTGAGGTATTGACAGTTATGAACTCAACATATGAGTTTGGGGAAGGAGACACAATTCAACCCACACCACCTTCCTTCAAGCTCATGTCATATTTATAATAATATATCTTATAACTAAAGATTTCTAGAAAAACAACTTAAAATTTATACACTTAATTCCAAAATTATTATTTTTTCCCTTTTTCTAATTTGACACCTAAATTTCAAATAGGGAAGATTAAGATTATTAACTATATTCAAGAATAAAACTTTGGTCCTCATATTGAAAGAATTCATACATAAGTTGATGCTTATGGTGTTTAACATATATTCCTGAATCATCTGAAATTCATTACCATTTTCTATGATTACTACATTATCTATGCAAAAACACAGCCAACAATTATTTTTAAATTGTCTTTTAACTTCCTTCTGCAATTCTACTTCTATGGATCATGTATAATATTTAATATGTTTTGAGAGGCCTAAAATATATATAAAGCAGAAATCATGGGAAACCATTATATAATGTTTCTTGAAACATTTGATTATTTAACAAAATGCAAACAACAGAATGGTATTGATTAGATAATATTTAGTAGTCACTACTCTCTAGTATTGTACTAACACTGGGAAATAAAAAGATTAATATAAATAATACATATATTTTCAAACAGTTTAAAGTCTGCATTCATATAAATTTGGTAGACCAGGTATATAAATACAGTCACTGCTCCATATCTACACTATTGTTGCCACCATAAATGGATATTTATATTAAAACTGCTTTTTCCACCTAATTGTTCATAGAATACTAACGTTCTATGAAAAAAAATAGTCTCTGTTTCTGAATATAGGCTAAATCATCCTCATCAGATCATAAGAATTAACATCATATACTAATCTATTGATTATAAAATTTTTAATGGAATAAAGCTAATAATGTCATTCTTTTTTTATTTTATTATTATTATACTTTCAGTTTTAGGGTACATGTGCACAATATGCAGGTTAGTTACATATGTATACGTGTGCCATGCTGGTGTGCTGCACCCATTAACTTGTCATTTAGCATTAGGTATATCTCCTAATGCTATCCCTCCCCCACTCCACACCACAACAGTCCCCAGAGTGTGATGTTCCCCTTCCTGTGTCCATGTGTTCTCACTGTTCAGTTCTCACCTATGAGTGAGAACATGCGGTGTTTGGTTTTTTGTCCTTGCGATAGTTTACTGAGAATGATGATTTCCAATTTCATCCATGTCCCTACAAAGGACATGAACTCATCATTTTTTATGGCTGCATAGTATTCCATGGTGTATATGTGCCACATTTTCTTAATCCAGTCTATCATTGTTGGATATTTGGGTTGGTTCCAAGTCTTTGCTATTGTGAATAGTGCTGCAATAAACATACGTGTGCATATGTCTTTATAGCAGCATGATTTATAATCCTTTGGGTATATACCCAATAACGGGATGGCTGGGTCAAATGGTATTTCTAGTTCTAGATCCCTGAGGAATCGCCACACTGACTTCCACAATGGTTGAACTAGTTTACAATCCCACCAACAGTGTAAAAGTGTTCCTATGTCTCCACATCCTCTCCAGCACCTGTTTCCAGACTTTTTAATGATTGCCATTCTAACTGGTGTGAGATGGTATCTCATTGTGGTTTTGATTTGCATTTCTCTGATGGCCAGTGATGGTGAGCATTTTTTCATGTGTCTTTTGGCTGCATAAATGTCTTCTTTTGAGAAGTGTCTGTTCATGTCCTTGGCCAATTTTTTATGGGGTTTTTTGTTTTTCTCTTGTAAATTTGTTTGAGTTCTTTGTAGATTCTGGATATTAGCCCTTTGTCAGATAGGTAGGTTGCAGAAATGTTCTCCCATTTTGTAGGTTGCCTGTTCACTCTGATGGTAGTTTCTTTTGCTGTGCAGAAGCTCTTTCGTTTAATTAGATCCCATTTGTCAATTTTGTCTTTTGTTGCCATTGCTTTTGGTGTTTTAGACATGAAGTCCTTGCCCATGCCTATGTCCTGCATGGTAATGCCTAGGTTTTCTTCTAGGGTTTTTATGGTTTTAGGTCTAATGTTTAAGTCTTTAATCCATCTTGAATTAATTTTTGTATAAGGTGTAAGGAAGGGATCCAGTTTCAGCTTTCTACATATGGCTAGCCAGTTTTCCCAGCACCATTGATTAAATAGGGAATCCTTTCCCCATTGCTCGTTTTTCTCAGGTTTGTCAAAGATCAGATAGTTGTAGATATGCGGCGTTATTTCTGAGGGCTCTATTCTGTTCCATTGATCTATATCTCTGTTTTGGTACCAGTACCATGCTGTTTTGGTTACTGTAGCCTTGTAGTATAGTTTGAAGTCAGGTAGCGTGATGCCTCCAGCTTTGTTCTTTTGGCTTAGGATTGACTTGGCGATGCAGGCTCTTTTTTGGTTCCATATGAACTTTAAAGTAGTTTTTTCCAATTCTGTGAAGAAAGTCATTGGTAGCTTGATGGGGATGGCATTGAATCTGTAAATTACCTTGGGTAGTATGGCCATTTTCACGATATTGATTCTTCCTACCCATGAGCATGGAATGTTCTTCCATTTGTTTGTATCCTCTTTTATTTCATTGAGCAGTGGTTTGTTGTTCTCCTTGAAGAGGTCCTTCACATCCCTCGTAAGTTGGATTCCTAAGTATTTTATTCTCTGTGAAGCAATTGTGAATGGGAATTCACTCATGATTTAGCTCTCTGTTTGTCTGCTATTGGTGTATAA